>NC_000012.12:32428979-32581675 GCF_000001405.40 Homo sapiens
TAGCTCAGAGGAGTTTTTTATCACCCACCTTCTGAAGCCTACTTCTGTCAATTCATCACACTTATTTTCCATCCAGTTTTATTCCCTTGCTGGTGAGGAGTTGTGATCCTTCAGAGAAGAGGTGTTCTGGTTTTTGGAATTTTCAGTCTTTTTGCTCTGGTTTTTCCTCATCTTCATGAATTTATCTACCTTTGGTCTTTGATGTTGGTGACCTTCGGATGGGGTTTCTATGTGAACATCTTTTTTGTTGATGTTGATGCTATTCATTTCTGTTTGTTAGTTTTCCTTCTAACAGTCAGGGTCCTCTGCTGCAGGTCTGCTGGAGTTTGCTGGAGGTCCATTCCAGACCCTGTTTGCCTGGGTATCACCAGTGGAGGCTTCAGAACAGCAAAGATTGCTCCCTCTTCCTTCCTCTGGAAGCTTCGTCCCAGAGGGGCACCCTCCACATGCCAGACAGAGCTCTCCTGTACAAGGTGTCTGTTGACCCCTGCTGGGAGGTATCTCCCAATCAGGAGGCACGGGGGTAAGGGACCCATTTGAGGAGGCAGTCTGTCCCTTAGCAGGGCTCAAGCGCTTTGCTGGGAGATCTGCTGCTCTCTTCAGAGCTGGCAGGCAGGAACTTTTAAGTTTGCTGAAGCTTTGCCCACAGCTGCCCTTTCCCCCAGGTGCTCTGTCCCAGGGAGATGGGAGTTTAAACCCCTGACTGGGGCTGCTGCCTTTCTTTCAGAGATGCTTTGTACAGATAGGAGAAATCTAGAGAGGCAGTCTGGCTGCTGGGAGTGTCTTTTAGCATGCTAATTAGCATACATAATTATAATTAGCTATAATTAGCAGTGAGGACAACCAGAGGTCTCTTTTGTTGCCATCTTGGTTTTGGTGGGTTTTGGCCTGCTTCTTACCATGTTTTATCAGCAAGGTCTTTGTGACCTGCATCTTGTTGAAACGAGTCCTGCCAAATTCCTATCAGGTTTACTGTAGTTAATGAGGCCAAAAAAAAAAAAGGACATTTTCAAGGAGAAACAGAAACATTATTAGAAAAGATTCTGGGCTGGGCGCGCTGGCTTATGCCTGTAATCCCAGCACTTTGGGAGGCTGAGGCAGGCAGATCACCTGAGGTCAGGAGTTTGGGACTAGCCTGGCCAACATGGTGAAATCCCGTTTCTACTAAAAATACAAAAATTAGCCGGGTGTGGTAGCAGGCATCTGTAATTCCAGCTACTTGGGAGACTGAGGCAGGAGAATTGCTTGAACCTGGGAGGGGCAGGTTGCAGTGAGCTGAGATTGCACCACTGTGCTCCAGCCTTGGTGATAAAGTGAGACTCTGTCTCAAAAAAGAAAAAAAAAAGGAAAGAAGAGATTCTGGAGGTAGAAACAAGAAATAGTTTCCTGATCTTTGCTGGGCAACCGTACTTTTGGTAATACTTGATTAACTCAAATCCTCTATTGCTTTCTAGGAACTTGTTTGACTAGATTATATCGTATATCATTAGCAGGGTGACAGTTACCTACTAAATTTTGAAGTTATATGAATAATCTTTATTTTCAAGAATCTTATGAATTTTATATGTTCTGCAAAAACAGGTAAAACTTCATTCCTCTTTTACTCTATTTAAAAAAACTGTAATGGATGGATATATATAATTGCGTGTGTGTAAAAGTAATATTAATATATCAATATCATGATCTTACTGGTATATGTTTTTCTAAGAGAATTTTTCTAAGAGAATTAGGTAAGCCTTTCCCCACTCTTTTAACATCTTAGTATAATAAAAAATTGAGTGAGAGTATTCACACCCAGAGATACTGTCCAAAGTAGAAGAACTAGCTTCAAGACTGGGAACTGACTAGGGTGCTAATTAGAGCCCCTCTGTAGTCCTTTTATAGAAAATGGTAAACTCAGGCCATTGCCTATGAAAACATTGAAAAGAAGGGAAGGAGGAGAAGGGTTCTGGAGGAAGCAAGGAGGAAACTGCCAATGATGGTAGTCATTGTTCTGAAGTCAGTTTGGTGCCCAATCTAAGCTGATTTTCATTGAGAGCTAATGTCCATTTCCAGGTTTTGGAACTGAATGAACAACTGGTATGTTTTCGTTAACCTGGGAGATTCTCTGTAGCCACAAAATGAGCATTGGAGAGGTCGAAAAAAGGAATAGAAAATTAAAAATCATATAACTCCCACTTGTAGAGAGCAGCTGTCATCATATAATGTCATGAATCCTCTCTGATTAGCTGGCAGCAGATGTGTTAGGTGCTTCTCTGCCTCTTGATTATAGCCCCTTTCTGTAAACTTCCGGGAAAATTATATTGGCGGCAATTGCGTGTATCACTGATACATGCAAAAGCCCTTATTTCAGGATATCCACTTTTTCAGATCTTTTGTCAATTGTCCATTTCTGGCATAGGTCCTGAGTCCCAGTGTAATTTATACTTTTTTTCGTTTGGAAAAGGGTTTTTTATTCTCACTCCTTGTTTTGAGTCTCAAAGCTAGTTGCTTACACTCAGTTCGTGCAAATGCTGTAGTGGCATATTTAGAAGATAGGCTTTGTGTGGACTTTTGGAAAAGTTTAATAGTTTATGTCTGCATGTTTTTCTTTATCTAATCTCCCCTCAACCTGTCCCCAACAAATACATTAAGAAAATAATTTCTGGGCCGGGCGCAGTGGCTCACACCTGTAATCCTGGCACTTGGGAGGCTGAGGCGGGTAGATCACTTGAGCCTGGGAGGTGGAGGTTGCAGTGAGCCAAGATTGTGCCACTGCACTCCAGCCTGCGTGACAGAGCAAGATTCTGTCTTAAAAAAAAAAAAAGAAAATAATTCCCCTTTTTTTCTTCTAATATTTTCTCCTTGCTCATGAGTTAATTGATACAATTACACAAATAGAATTTTATGGTAAACCTGAAAGGTGTGACTAATATGAAGTTTCAGATATTTGAAACCTTTTAAGTTTTAAAAAGTATTGAGCTCATCTCCTTTGAGCCTTTACTTAAACGGATCTTCTGGCCGTCTCTGGGCACCTTATTTAAAATTGGGAGCCCTGGTTGGGCACAGTGGCTCATGCCTGTAATCCTAGCATTTTTTTTTTTTTTTTTTTTTTTTTTTAGACAGAGTCTCGCTCTGTTGCCCAGGCTGGAGTGTAGTGGCCTGATCTTGGCTCACTGCAAGCTCTGCCTCCTGGGTTCACACCATTCTCCTGCCTCAGTCTCCCCAGCAGCTGGGACTACAGGCGCCCACCACCATGCCCAGCTAATTTTTTGTATTTTTTAGTAAAGGTGGGGTTTCACCATGTTAGCCAGGATGGTCTTGATCTCCTGACCTCGTGATCCGCCTGCCTCGGCCTCCCAAAGGGCTGGGATTACAGGCGTGAGCCACCGCGCCCGACCAATCCTAGCATTTTGGGACGCCGAGGCGGGTGGATCACTTGAGGTCAGGATTTCGAGACCAGCCTGGCCAACATGGTGAAACCCCATTTCTACTGAAAATACAAAAGTTAGCTGGGCATGATGGCACACTCCTGTAATCCCAGCTACTCAGGAGGCTGAGATTGAACCCAGGAGGCGGAGGTTGCAGTGAGCCAAGATCGCGCCACTGCACTCCAGCCTGGGTGACAGAGCAAGACTCCATCTCAAAAAAAAAAAAAAAGGTAGTAATAGGGGTTGGCCCTTCATTTTATAAAGTTGAGAGCATTATATACAGAGAAGGGTTCTTCATCACTTTTTTAGTCATTTGGTGAATCCCTTTAACATGAACGTGAACCTTCATGTTAACATTGTAAGAGCAGTGACTATACCTGTCTTGTTCTTTGCTGTCTCTCCAACACCTAGAAGAGTTCCTGGCTCATATTATTTGTTAAATTAATTGAATGAGTGAGTGACTGAAATCCTGTTGAGTGCTAATTTTCAAAATACATATTTTAATGCCAGCTCAATATATAAAAACCTAGTTTACATAGAAACTTTATCACCTTCTTGCCCCTTTAATATTTTCTTTGCCTGGTTTCCATATTTTTCTGGAATAAGATTTTTTTTTTTTTATTTTGAGACAAGGTCTCACTCTGTCGCCCAGGCTGGAGTACAGTGGCACAATCTTACCTCACTGCAACCTCCACCTCCCTGGTTCAAGCAATTCTCATGCCTCAGCCTCCGAAAAAGCTGAGACTACAGGTGTGCACCACCACACCTCGCTAATTTTTGTATTTTTAGTAGAGATTGGGTTTCCCCATGTTGGCCAAGCTGGAATCGAACTCCTGGCCTCAAGTTACTCACCTGCCTCGGCTTCCTAAAGTGCTGGGATTGAGCCACCATGCCCAGCCTGGAATAAGATACTTTAACATAAATTTCCTTGTCAGCTGATTCACTTTAAAAATACATTTTTCTTTTTTTTTCTTTTTGAGTCGGAGTCTTGCTCTTTCACCCAGGCTGGAGTTCAGTGGCTCAGTTTCGGCTCACTGCAACCTCTGCCTCCCAGGTTCAAGCGATTCTCCTGCCTCAGCCTCCCGAGTAGCTGGGATTACAGGCACCTGCCATCATTTTTGTATTTTTGTAGAGACGGGGTTTCACCATGTTGGCCAGGCTGGTCTTGAACTCCTGACCTCAGGTGATCCGCCCACCTCGGCCTCCCAAAGTGCTGGGATTATAAGCATGAGCCACCGCACCTGGCCTAAAAGTGCATTTTTTTAATGTAGCTTTCAAAAGTACATGTTTTATGTAACGAAGCATCCTCTAATTCTAGCTATTGAAGTTAGCCATATCACTGTTAATTGTTGCTTTGAGACAAAGTTACATCTTTAAAATTTTGTATCATGGGATGCAATGAAACATCCTTCTGTAAAGCAAAGGGATTGACTACCTGATAATATATTTACTTATTTATTTATTTATTTATTATTATTATTTTTTGAGACGGAGTCTTGCTCTGTCGCCAGGCTGGAGTGCAGTGGCGTGATCTTGGCTCACTGCGACCTCCGCCTTCTGGGTTCAAGCGATTCTTCTGCCTCAGCCTCCCGAGTAGCTAGGACTACAGGCATGCACCACCACGCCCAGCTAATTTTTGTATTTTTAGTAGAGATGGGGTTTCACCATGATAGCCAGGATGGTCTTGATCTCCTGACCTCGTGATCCGCCCGCCTCAGCCTCCCAAAGTGCTGGGATTACAGGCATGAACCACTGTGCCCGGCCTGATAATATATTTAAACCTGAATTGCACAACAAGCTGGGCCTTCCCCTTGATTTTCTAAGTTCCTCACAGACCCTGTCTGTTCCTAGCTCTTTTATGATGTTCTAAAACTTTGTCGCTGCTTATAAAATGGAGGAGAGACTTACTGGTAATTTGTTCTGTGTGAGTTTGCATTAGATGCTTCTAATTCATAGAAAAGTTGATTATCCTGTGATTGGAGAACGAAGACTCAGGTGAGCAGTAATAGTTTTAAATACAGTTTTTTACAGCTAGAATATTGAAAATAGTTTCTTTCTCCCTTCAAGTTGGATAAATTTTGTACACACGAAAAATAAGTTTGAATTTGTAGGCTAAATTCATTTCTTAGCTCCTTAGAAATGTTAGGCCTTTTCAAAGAGGAAAGCCTTAATTACACTGTATTCCTCAGGAAGGTTATTTCCTTCATGTAAATTATGACTTTTGTGATTCCAGTAGCTCTGTGATTTCTTCATGAATGTCATTAACTTAATTGCCTTCTCATTGCTTTATGCTAGAAAAATGGGAATGTGCTTTAAACTTTTGTAGATATTGACATTTAGAACATGGTTAACTTGTTAACAAGGTACACATTTATTCTGATGCAAAAATCTACACAATGTGTTGAGGCACCATATGATGTTTTGACCAGATTTTGTCAGTGTGCTATATATGAGTCAGAGGATTGAATAAGATGAAAAAAATCAAATATAGTGGTGAATGATACAAATTTCTTTTCTGAGAGGAGCAGCTTCGCTTCATTTCTTTTCTTTCCTTCTTTTCTTTTTTTTTTCTTTTCTTTTCTTTCTTTTTTTTGCCCAGGCTGGAGTGCAGTGGCACAGTCTTGGCTCACCGCTACCTCTGCCTCCCGGGTTCAAGTGATTCTCCTGTCTCAGCCTCCCGAGTAGCTGGGATTACAGGCATGCGCCACCACGCCTGGCTAATTTTGTATTTTTAATAGAGATGGAGTTTCTCCATGTTTGTCAGGCTGGTCTCGAACTCCCGACTTCAGGTGATCCGCCCACCTTGGCCTCCCAAAGTGCTGGGATTGATTACAGGTGTGAGCCACCGTGCCTGGCCACTTCATTTCTTTAAAGTGAAATGAAACTAGTTGAGAGATCTAGCTCAGGAGTTAGACAGGCCTGGGTTCAAATGCTGCCTCTGCTAATTCACAGATTTGGGTGAGTCAGTTTCTCTCAGGCTGTTTATTTATAAAATCAGGATAATCAAAGGTCTCATTTCAGAAGTTATGAAGGATTAAATAGAGTAATGCTCATAAAATGATATATTTACATATTCAGTACTCAATAAATGCTAGCTACAATTAAAAAAGTGTGTGTGTGTGTGTGTGTTTTAAATGACTAAGTTGGAATTGGCCTTTTTTTTGTGGTTTCCATCATTCGAACTTATTTTATTGATACTCATTAGCGAATATAATTTTGTTGATTTTTTTGGTGCATTATGACACTTTTTGTTAGTGATTACACAATGTTGATCATTTATTTATTTATTGTACTAAATACTGCAACCTCTGAATTGCCAATTTTTACATGGTATTTCTGGCAGTGATGGGTGGCCCCGCTTTCTGATTACATAAAATGGTCCATCTAGTCCATGGTTTTCATATTCCTTTGTAATTCTACTTACTGCTTTAAAATTCATTCAAATAAAAAGATCTAAGTTACTTGCAGTGAGTGAGTGCCCAAATGCAACAGCAAGGAGAGCTGAGAACATAACTAACCAATACTTTCGTGTTCAAAGAATAAATACTCTGAAACAGTGGGACAGAAGCTTGCTCCTTAGGGACTTTCTCAAAGTACCCTTGGTGGACATAAGGTTATCCTCACTCAACGGAAGGACATATCTGCTGTCGGGGGAGGACACAGAATGACGATTTCATTTACCTAGGATATTTTCCTTCTGTAAATGTCTGGAACAAGTTGTCACTGGACACCGTGATGTACAGTGTAGCCCTCCTATTAGAATAAATAAATTATGTGGTTGGACTGGAATGCTACAGGCACACTATGACTGGAAGTGGAAGGAGAGAGAATGTTTATTTAAAATACAGCACACATAAATAATAAATAAAAGTTTAAAACTTAATCAGCAACAGCAACAGGACCAGCCTCCCCTGTTCCATTTATGGTTCTTTTCAGGAACACCTGTATCTTTTCCTAAGGATAAAAAGTGGCACAAGGAGACAAAAGGCTTTGGAAGGAAAGAAAATACTTTGTTGTGACTTTGTGCTTTTCTGAAACAAGAAGGCAAAACATGTGGGCATTGAATGGCTGCAATAAAAGACTGCACAGTGTCCACACATTGGCAAGCCTCAGGTTTCAGAGGAAGCACTGGAGCCAGCAGAATGCCAAAGCCTTGTTTCTCCCTTGAACCAGTTTGGTGTTACGCCTGGTTGTGCTTCTCCCGCTTTACTTTTACTGTTGATAAATTTCTTAATAAGCTTTTTCCCTATCCCTTTTCCCTTTAATCCTATCGTTAAAGGTGTCTTGGGTCTGGTCTTAAATCAATTTGGTTATGACACTAGGTCCCAGAAAAAAAGCTGCTATCTCATTAGCAGCTTGGTGTGTTGGAAATTCATGTTTGAACCACACAGTGAACCTACACTACCAGTACCATTACTTCCCTGCATATAAAAAACAAAAAATGGGGGCCAGGCATGGTGGCTCATGCCTGTAATCCCAGCAATTTGGGAGGCCAAGGCAGGTGGATAGCTTGAGATCAGGAGTTCGAGACCAGCCTGGCCAACATGGTGAAACCCTGTCTCTACTAAAATTAGCCAGGCATGGTGGCGGGCGCCTGTAGTCCCAGCTATGTGGGAGGCTAAGGCAGGAGAATTGCTTGAACCTGGGAGGTGAAGTTTGCAGTGAGCCGAGATTGCACCACTGCACCCCAGTCTGGGTGACAGAGTGGGACTCCATGTCAAAAAAAAAAAAAAAAGGGAAAAAGAAAACAAATCACACAGAACATGAAGGGGCTGCTGAACAATGCAGCAGGAATGTAAATACATTCTCTTTCGGGTCAGACGTTTGGCCAGACGGCTGATTACAAAACATAGGATGACTTCAAGCTGAAGGTATGAAAACAAAAGGTTACACCTCAAAACAGAAATGACTGTTCATTGAGGCAGAGTAGTGAAGGTCTTGAAGAAGCTGGGACACCCATAAAAGAAAGAAAAGCCCTCTGCTCAGGAAATCCATGTCAGCTACACGTGGCTGAGCACGGAGGCTCTTTATGCTCCCTATACGATGAGCGAGGCGAGGTGTCCAACCGCACCCAGATGTGTTACTGGGCAGCCTGGCCCAGGCCTTTTTAAAGATGTTTGATAAAGCTCATGTAGCAACTACCAGAGCTTCACTACACGGATATCCGTGGTATTCATTGAGTAAAACCAGCAGATTTCACATAAGCAGATGTTTTTATTTGTTCCTAAAGTCTTAGAAAGTAATGTTATATTAACATGTAATATGAATTCCCTGTTACTCTTTGGATGGTTTGCATTTGACCAGTGTCTTTTCATTTTTAGTAAAAGCAAAATTTTTTCTAGACATAATCCTGCTATTGATGTTGAATACTATTTCATCTTACCCTGCATACCACACAATACCACTGATACATTGTATATACCACTGATAACATTCTTGGCCACTGGGAAAATTATTTTTTTACATTGTTATTGGTCTCCTGTGTTGTAGGTAGGACTATGCAGGAATGGATCTTTTCTTTGAGACAGAGTCTTGCTCTGTCACCCAGGCTGGAGTGCAGTGGCGCAATCTCAGCTCACTGCAGGCTCTACTCTCGGGTTCAAGCGATTCTTCTGCCTCAGCCTCCTGAGTAGCTGGGGCTACAGGCATACGCCATCATGTCCGGGTAATTTCTATAGTTTTAGTAGAGACTGGGTTTCGCTGTGTTGGCCAGTCTGGTCTCAAACTCTTGACTTCAAGTGATCCATCTGCCTGGGCCTCCCAAAGTGCTGGGATTATAGGCGTGAGCCACCGCGTCTGGCCAGGAATGGTTCTTGAACCATTTCTTCCCATCTTAGAAAATACTGACTTCTCACTTGCCTTATTGAAATGGTTTGGAGAGGTATAGCATCTAACAATACTGCACTTCCATAGAGCGGACTTGGGATAACAGTTAACTCCTAAGACATCAGCTGAAGATGACAAAGGTAAAAATATCTGCCGTTAAGATAAAGTTGAAAACTCTGTACTTACTGTACTTTATTCAAAATGTTAGCCTTCTCTTAGCAGATTCTTCAATAAGCTTGCTTTTAGGTTTCAACTGCCTTGAGCAGTTGAAATTAGGAGAGGTATGTGAATGTATCTGTAAGTAAGTGGACACAGGAGGATGCTTTTAGTTGTTTTTTTAATTGTCAAATTTTATATACTAGTCACCTAAAACATGTTTTTTGTTTGTTTGTTTGTGTGTGTTTTTTTTTTTGAGATGGAGTCTCGCTCTGTCACCCAGGCTGGAGTGCAGTGGCGCGATCTCAACTGCAACCTCCACCTCCCGGGTTCACGCCAATATCCTGCCTCAGCCTCCTGAGGAGCTGGGACTATAGGAGCCCGCCACCACGCCCAGCTAATTTTCTGTGTTTTTTTTAGTAGAGACGGGGTTTCACCATGTTAGCCAGGATGGTCTCGATCTCCTGACCTCGTGATCCGCCTGCCTTGGCCTCCCAAAGTGCTGGGATTACAGGCGTGAGCCACTGCGCCCGGCCCTACAACATGTTTTAAAATATGAATACGTTGTGGAATGATTCGATCGATTTGACCAGTGTCTTCATTTTTTGATCGAGCTAATTAACATATGTATTACCTCACTTATAATTTACTAATAATTATTATAGATATCATGTTGTACAATAGATCTATTGAACTTATTCTTCCTATCCAACTGAAATTTTGTATCCTTTGACCAAACATTTCCCCAAAACTGCACCCCCAACTCCCAGTGCCTGGTAACTACTATTCTACTCTCAACTTCTATGAGTTTAACTTTTACAGATTCCACATATAGTTGAGATCATGCAGTATTTGTCATTTTGTGTCTGGCTTATAACATAATGCTGTCCAGATTCATCCATCTTGTTACAAATGACATAATTTCTTTATTTTTAAAGGCCGAATAGTATTCCCTTGTGTATCTATGCCACATTTTCTATTCAGCTGTTGCTGAACACTTAGGTTGATTCCATATCTTGGCTATTGTGAATAGTGCTGCAGTGAACATGGGGATGCAGATAACTCTGACATACTGATTTCATTTCCTTTGGATACATACCCAGTTACCCAGTAGTGAGATTGCTGGATTATATGGCCATTCTATTTATAATTTTTTGAAGAACCTTCATACTGTTTCCCATAATGGCTATACTAATTTACATTACTAGCAGCAATGTACAAGATTTCCTTTTTCTCTTTGTCCTTGACCCTTGGGAGTTTATTACATGCCTTGAGGTAGTCTTCTTTGGGTTAAATCTGCTTGGTGTTCTGTAACCTTTTACTTGGATATTGATATCTTTCTCCATGTTTGAGACATTCTTTGTTATTATCCCACTGAATAAACTTTCTGCTCCTATCGCTCTCTCTGCCTCCTCTTTAAGGCCAATAACTTTTAGATTTGCCCTTTTGAGGCTAGTTTCTAGATCCTGTAGGTGTGCTTCATTTTTTTTTTCTTTAGTCTCTTGTGTGTGTTTTCAAATAGCCTATCTTCAGGCTCACTAATTCTTCTGCTTAATCTATTTTGCTAATAAAAGACCCTGATGCCAATTACATTTTTTAGCTCCAGAACTTCTGCATGATTCTTTTTAATTATTTCAATCTCCGTTAAATTTATCAGATAGAATTATCAATTCCTTCTCTATGTTATTTTGAATTTCTTTGAGTTTCCTCAACACGGCTATTGTGAATTCACTGTCTGAAAGGTCACATATCTCTGTTTTTCCAGGATTGGTCCCTGGAGCTTTATTTAGTTCATTTGGTGAGGTCATGTTTCCCTGGATGCCGCTGATGCTCGTAGATGTTCTTCAGTATCTGGGCATTGAAGAGTTAGGTATTTATTGTAGTCTTCCTTGTCTGGGCTTGTTTGTGCCCATCCTTCTTGGGAAGGCTTTTCAGGTATTTGAAAGGATGTGGCTGTTGTGATCTAAGCTGTTTCTGCTTTAGGGGGCACCCCAAGCTCAGTAATGCTGTGGTTCTTGCAGACTCATAGAGGTATAATGCCACCTTGACGATCTTGGACAAGATTCGGCAAAATTATCTGGATCACCGGGCAGAGACTCCTGTTGTCTTCCCTTACTTTCTCCCAAACATACAGAGTCCCTGTCTCTGTTCTGAGCCACATAAAGCTGGGGGTAGAGTGACCCCTGTGACCACCACTATAACTGAACCCCTGTGGCCACTACCACTATGACTACACGGCGTCAGACTTGAAGCCAGGAGAGCACTGGATCTTGCCCAAGGTTTGCTATAACTACTTCCTGGCTGCTGCCTATGTTCGCTCAAGGCCCTGGGTCTCTGCAGTTGGCAAGTGGCTAAACCAGCCAGGCCTGTGCCATTCCCTTCAGGGCGGCAAGGTCCCCCACAGCCAGAAGTCAGGAACTAGAATCAAAAACCTTAGAAGTCTACCTGGTAATCTAGTGTATTGCAGCTGAGCTGGCACTCAAACCACCAGATGCAGTCCTTCCTACTCTTCCCTCCCTTTTCCAAAGGCAGAAGAGCCTCATCCCATAGCCACTGCCACCCCTTGCCACAAAGAGTACTGCCAGACTACTACTGATGTTCCTTTAAGGCCCAAGGTCTCTTAAGTCAGCCTGTGGTGAATGCTGCCTGGCCTGGGACTCACCCTTCAGGGAAGTGGGCTCCCCTCTGGCCTGGGCAGGTCCAGAAATGCCATCCAAGAGTCAGGGTCTGGAACCAGGGACCCCAAGAGCTCGCTTGATGCTCTACCCTCCTGTGGCAGTGTTGGTACCTAAGGTGCAAGATGAAGTCCCCTTTACTTTTCCCTCTGCTTTTCTCAAGCAGCAGTTTTGCCCTGTAGCTGTCACATCTGGTAATGTGCTGAGCCTTGCCTGAAGTCAGCAAGTCTCAGTGGCTACCCAAAGCCCTCAGTGTAGTACCTGGGTATCTCTGCTGGTTATTCAGCGTCTAAAGTCTCTTCACTTTGCTGGTGATGAATGCTGCCAGGACTGGGTCCTTTCCTTCAAGGCAGCGGGTTCCCTTGTGACCCAGGATGTGTCTAGAAGTGTAATCTGGGAACTAGGGCCTGGAACAGGGGCCTCTTGACTCTGGACTGGTGACTCTGACTACGGTGCCCTTTCCTGCTATGGCTAAGCTGGTGTCCAAAATGCAAGATAACGTCCTCCCCGCTTTTTCCTCCTCAAGCAGAAGAAAGGTGTCTCTTTTGGAGCTGCAAGCTGCGCAACCTGGAATTAGGGGAGGGGTAATGCCAGCACTCCCTTGGCTGCACTAGTTTGTATCTTAGTATGTTGCTTGTCCCCCTAGTCCACTGTCTCTGGGCCTAGTTCAGCCCTAGGACTCACCTAGAAGTTGCAGTCCTTGTGACCTAGACTGCCTTTCAAGTTTACTTAGAGACCAAAAGCACTTTGGCCCTAGGTTTGTGGGCACTGGGATTGGCGATTCCCCTCTGGCTAGGGCTGGTTTAAACGCTCCCTCTGTGGGCAGGGGTCTGCTGAGTTTGGTCTGGTTTTCTTTTCTGCTCTAACAGGACAGCACTGAGTTCAATGCCTCAAAATTGTTGTCTTCTCCTCCAGTGTCCAGAGATGCTCTTCACGCCATGCTGCTGCTCTCAGGGTGGGGGAAGGGTGGTGCTGGCAATTCAGGAGTGTTGTTGTGTTTTTTTTTTTTTTTGGTTTTTTTTTTGGAGACGGAGTCTCGCTGTGTCACCCAGGCTGGAGTGCAGTGGTGCAATCTCGGCTCACTGCAACCTCCGCCTCCTGGGTTCAAGTGATTCTCCTGCCTCAGCCTCCCAAGTAGCTGGGACAACAGGCATGTGCCACCACACCTGGCTAATTTTTTGTATTTTTAGTAGAGACGGGGTTTCACCGTGTTAGCCATGATGGTCTTGATCTCCTGACCTTGTGATCCACCCACCTCAGCCCCCCAAAGTGCTGGGATTACAGATGTGAGCCACTGCGCCCGGCCAGGACTGTTTTTTCTGTCTCTTCAGTGCATGTTTCACTGTGATATGAAGTTAAAACCAGGTACTGTGAGTGCTTACCTGACTTTTGGTTCTTATGAAGGTGTTTTTTTCTGTGTAGATTGTTGTTAACTTGGTGTCCTTGTGGTGGGGTGGGGTGATAGATGGAGCTTTCTATTCTGCCATCTTGCTCTGCCTCTCCCATCTTTCATCCTTTTTTTTTTTTTTTTTTTGGAGATGGAGTTTCACTCTGTCTCCAAGGCTGGGGCGCAGTGGTGCGATCTCACTGCAACCTCTGCCTCCCGGGTTCAAGCAATTCTCCTGTCTCAGCCTCCCGAGTAGCTGGGATTACAGGCACACCACCACACCCAGCTAATTTTTTGTATTTTTTGTAGGGACAGAGTTTCACCATGTTGCCCATGCTGGTCTCGAACTCCTGAGCCCAGGTGATCCACCTGCCTAGGCCTTCCAAAGTGTTGGGATTACAGGCATGAGCCACTGTGTCCAGGCTTCCATCTTTTATAGTAGCCATTCTAACAGGTGTGAGATGATAGCTCATTGTGGTCTTAATTTGTGTTTCTCTGATTAATGATGTTGAGCATTTTTCATATATCTGTTGGCCATTTGTTGTCTTGACAGATGTCTATTCAGGTATTTTGCCCATGTTTTAATTTGGTTGTTTTCTTGCTATTAGAGTTGAATTCTTTATGCATTTTGGATTTAACCTCTTACCAGATGTATGGTTAGCAGATATTTCCCCCATTCCATAGGTTGTCTCTTTGCTCTTATTGTTTCCTTGGCTGTGCAGAAGCTTTTTAGTTTGATATAAGTCCATAGTAGGGTGCTTTTAGACATAGGCACAGTAACAGGAGTTATGTCTGACAATCTGACATCAAGAATAGAAAAATTGGCTAGGCCTGTAGTTCCAGCTACTTGAGAAGATTACTTCAGCCCAGGAGTTTGAGTCTAGCCTGGGCAACAGAACAAGACCCCTGGTTTTTTTGGTTTATTGTTGTTTTTAGAGATGGGATCTCATTCTGTCACCTGGGCTAGAGTGCAGTGGTGCAATCATAGCTCACTGTAGCCTTGACCTCCTGGGCTCAAGCAGTCCTCCTGCGTCAGCCTCCTGAGCAGCTGGGACTACAGGCATGCCACTACCATGCCTGGCTGAGATCTTGTGTTTTAGGTTTTTTTTTTTTTTTTTTTTTTGAGGCAGGGTCTTACTCTGTCACCCAGGCTGGAGTGCAGTGGTGCGATCACAGCTCACTGTAGCCTCGAACTCCCAGGCTCAGGTGATCCTCTGGAGTATCTGGGACTACAGGAATGCAGCGCCACACCTAGTGGTGGCGAAACATGGAGAAGCCCTAATTTTTTTGTATATTTTATAGAGATGGGATATCACTATGTTGCCCAGGTTGTCTTTCTCTTTAAAAAAAAAAAGCCAGAATGAAAGTGAATGGTGCAGCCTTCAAGTTCAGTGTTTTGTATTTTATTATGACAATTTTGAAGAAGGAAAAATATTTATTTCAAAGAGCCTAAAACCAAACTCAAGCAATAAGTTGTGATTTTTAAAAAATCGACAGATTTACTTATTTTGAAAAACAATTCTATGGAGATGTAGTTCACATATTATACAATTCACCCATGTAAAGTGGACAGGCTGACTTTGTTTTCTTTTTTTTTTTTTTTTTTTTTGAGACAGGGTCTCACTCTGTTGCCCAAGCTGGAGTACAGTGGTGCCATCATGGCTCACTGCAGTCTCGACCTCCCAGGCTCACGCAATGCTCCACCTCAGCCTCCCAAGAAGCTGGAACTACAGGCATGAGCCACCACACCTGGCACATTTTAAAATTTTTTATAGAGACAGGGTCTTACTATGTTGCCCAGGCTAGTCTTGAACTCCTGGGTTCAAGTGATCTCCCACCTTGGCTTCCCAAAGTGCTGGGGTTACAGGCGTGACCCACTGCACCCAGCCAACAGGCTGATTTTCAAGATAGAAAACTTTGACTTGTTTTAATGCAGTTCCATGGAACTCTGAATTAAGCAATTTTTTTTTGTTTTGTTTTTTGTTTTTGAGATGGATTTTTGCTCTTGTTGCT
Organism: Homo sapiens; assembly: GCF_000001405.40. NCBI lineage: Eukaryota > Metazoa > Chordata > Mammalia > Primates > Hominidae > Homo > Homo sapiens. Next base: position 32,444,447 of record NC_000012.12, read on the forward strand.
CAGGCTGGAGTGCAGTGGTGCAATCTCGGCTCACCACAATCTCCGTCTCCCGGGTTCAAGTGATTCTCCTGCCTCAGCCTCCCGAGTAACTGGGATTACAGGCGCCCATCACCACACCCAGCTAATTTTTGTATTTTTAGTAGAGACGGTGTTTCACCATGTTGGCCAGGCTAGTCTCGAACTCCTGACCTCAGGTGACCCACCCGCCCCGGCTTCCTAAAGTGCTGAGATTATAGGTGTGAGCCACTGCGCATGGCCTAAGCAATGATTTTTGACAAGAATTTTCTCCTTTCAAAAAGTGCTTAATTGTGGCAAGGTGAGACCTGAGGTGAAGATAAAGGATGGGTGGGTATTTCTTCAGAATTCAGCAGAAAGATTTGCCAACCTTTAAGTAGACACGCCGTTCCAAATTTGTAATAATGTAAATGCTTTCTACCAAATTGTGTAATGAATATATTTGAAATGGTGATTGATATTATTAATAGATATGTTTGACTTATTAGAATATCATTTACCAACATTTAGCAAAATCGAGATAGAATAGCAAGGGTCATTGATGAGTAAGTTCCATGCAGATATGTACCTTCCTGTAACATTTACCAGATGGAGACTTTTGGGTGTGTGCCAAAAGTGATGAATTAACCGTGAAAGAATGTGAGACAAATGAAGTGTGAAGGTAGTTCAAAGGTCCTTAAAGAGACAGAACAGCCCACTCTTGCCTTCATAAGATTTGCTAGAGAAAGAAGTAGGTGCCTAGTAAAGTATTTAGGGAAATCTCAGTCTGGCTAGTCCTTACAAGAAAGAAATCCTTTGAAAGGAATACAATATTCATAATGTGACTGTTTTAAAATAAATTTTTATATGTTTAATATTTGTAAAAAGTCCTCATTGAGATTTTCCTCTCTTCATCTTATTTTGCCATTTCTGTGGTATAAAATAGGTTTTTAGGAAATTTGACTTTGATTTACTCGTGGACCATTGCTTAGGAATGATTAGGTTGCAAATTGGGGATTGTCTGTAAGACAATGGCTTTTTATTTGGGTGAGGACTGAAGAACACATCTCATGATAGGATTATTGAATAAAATCTGTTGTTTCTGTGAATGCTGAAAATGGCAGTTGGAAAACATATTTATTGCATTTCATCAATGGGCCTCTGTGCATTGGCTATTTTGAAATTGAATTTACACATTTCAAATGGTCATATAAGCAGTCATTTTGTGGAATGAAGCATAATTCAAGACTGGGAGTTGGGCTATACTGCAAGTTATGAATAAGATACACACTATTTCCAAGGGCCTAAAATTTCTTTGTTAAACACAGATTCAAAATAACTGTAAGGACCTTCTACCTATGGAACAAATTTGCAAGAAAAGTCCAAAGACTGGAATTTTATTTAAAATTCCTTCATTTGTAGCTAATTTAAAAATGTTACTTTGGACTGGGTGCTGTGACTCACACCTGTAATCCCAGCACTTTGTGAGGCCAAGGTGGGCAGATTGTTTAAGTCCAGGACTTCGAGACCAGCCTTGGCAACTGGAGAAACCCCGTCTCTACTAAAAATACAAAAAGTTAGCCCGGTGTGTAGTCCCAGCTACTCAGGAGACTGAGGTGGGAGAATCACCTGACCCTAGAAGGTCAGGGCTGTAGTGAGCCAGAGATCAGGCGACTGCACTCCAGCCTGGGCAACTGCGGTGAGACCTTGTCTCAAAAAATAAAAATAAAATGTTACTTTGTTTTGTGGACCAAGGGAAACATGCCTGTGGGCTAGTTCGAATGGCCTAGACAAGGTAGGGTAGAAAAAGTAATGTCTTTTTTTTAACCCCACTCATTACAAGGTTCATGGCTGGTGCACTGCTAGGGTCTGAGTGTTTGTGTCGCCCAGCCCCCACCCTCACCCCCTCAACATTTATATGTTGAAACCTGAAGCCCAATGTAACAGTAACTAAGAGGCGGAGGCTTCAGTATGATGAATACGGGGGTTATGTCTAATGGCAGTACACACGGTCGAGGGGTACTTAGCAAGGCCTGTTTGTTCAGATTCTTTTCTGTGTCCCTGTGTCTACAGAGATAAAGACATTCCTTTCCTCCGGGTATAGGAACAGTTCCTGAAATGAGGCTGTTAAGACCTACATCAGGGAAAGGTCAGTTAGGTTTTATGGTCTGCTTCAGGGAAGAAGAGGCATGGAAACAGGAAACAAACTTCCTGCTTTTGCTGTTTCCTCAAGTGCCAGCGTGCCATATTTTGGAGTAGCATGTCCTGAGCCCTATCAACAGCATGCGCGTGATTCTGAGGAGAAACAGGACACAATACCTTGTTCTACAAGCTTAAAAGTGATAATGCCTAGAGCGCGTAGAGATACCAAAGACCTGCAGTGGGGACACTGAGGAACAGCGCGTACAGGAAGTGATGTTGATCTGGTTCCTGGAGCACAGGTAGGATTTAGCAGTGGTGCAATGAGGGGCATGCATCCTGCCCAGAGCCGGAAGCACAGTCCAGTTATTGTGAGCAGCAGACAGTTCAGTGTGTTAGCAGCCTTGGGCTGTGGAAATGTTCCAGGTAACAAAAGGATAAGGCAAAGCTGTCCCTTTATTTTGTTTGAGTCCCTATATACACACAAAACCCCCCAAAATAAATCATATAGGTTAAAGGAAACTATGAAAATACAAAGCTGTGAGAAAGCTTCTTTAAGGCATGTCTCCTAGCTCATCCAGACCGATGACTCCTTTGAGAAAATTTTTCTGTGTAGTGGAGCTGCCACTATTTTATAGGTAGTCACCCATTTTATCTGGGGAGTCATTAGGCTGAAAATAAAACCCTTGCTTGTACCCCTTACCTTAAAAAGGATATTGGCTTAGGATTGGACAAATTTAAATCTTTGGTCCCTTAAATTTTGTTATTCCTTCACTGGACTTTCATGTTTTAGAACCATTTTTACATTTCTCAGTGAGTAGTTTATGGGGTGTGGTTGGTTGACTCAAATAGAGGCTACTAAACTTATTCTTTTAACCTTTAACCTTTCCAGAGTTAAAATTTACTGTCATTCTTTTTAAACATTAGATTCCCGACTTAAGGTGACACAGTTATAATATTTACAGTATCATGTTGTATTAAATGAGATGGCCCATTTGTAATATATGAGATAACCTGATACAACTCAGAATTAAATGTACAACTGAAAGGTTTAGCATTCTAGTCCTGAGCCATCCAAATTCGCTCAGTGACACAGGTCAGATCACTTATGCTGAATGACTTGCTTTGTTATTTGCCTAAATTAGAGAAGTGTAACTTGGTTAAATACGTGATAGGGCAAGGTTTGAAACATACAAACAAAAATGCTGTCCCTCCCTTCAGTACACCGTGTCTGATTTGTTCACTTGAGTCCTTAGCATCTACTACAGTGCTTCACACATAGCAGGCACTCAAATATTTGTTGGTTGAAATATATGTAAGAGAGAAGTACACCTATTTTTTCTGTGGTCATTATTAGAGGCAGAAGGTGTATATTTTCACTGTTTGTTTTTGTGTCTGTGTTGGGGAAGGAACAAACCCTAAAACCTTTACCCATTACAGAAGGAAAGAACATTGGTACAAGACGAACTGTTCAGCAAGAATAGATTTGAATGTCTGATCTGTCCCCAAGTCTTCAGATGCTGCAGATGTTAACCATGGCCTCTTGGATGCCCTCACTTGCTCATTCATTCACTTTGATTGATTCATAAGATGAGCTTGAGTTCATGCCAGCAAGTAAGCCATGATCTTAGAGGGAAAATGACTGGAAGCAGATCACAGTGCAATATGGTGTTAGAGGTATTAGGATGGATAGATGTAGAAAGTACAGTGGGAGTACAAAGAAGGGAAGGGAGCCATCATTTTTGTCTGAGCAAATGGAGCAGAGTCATATGGACTCATAGAAAAAGGGGTGCTTGGCTGGGCGCGGGTAGCTCACCCCTGTAATCCTAGCACTTTGGGAGGCTGAGGCGAGTGGATCACCTGAGGTCAGGAGTTCGAGAGCAGCCTGACCAACATGGTGAAACCCTGTGTCTACTAAAAATACAAAATTAGCCAGGTGCGGTGGCACATGCCTGTAATCCCAGCTACTTGGGAGGCTAAGGCAGGAGAATTGCTTGAACCCAGGAAGCAGAGGTTGCAGTGAGCTGAGATCGCGCCACGGCACTCCAGCCTGGGCAACAAATAATGAAACTCCATCGCAAAAAAAAAAAAAAGAAAAAGGGGTGATTGAGCTTGGACTTGAGGTAGGAATGTGTGTTTAGCAGGGGGAAGGAAAGAAGATAGAAGGGAAGCAGTCCGGTAACACAGGAGCAGCCTCATCACTTCCTGTAGGCTGCAGTATAGGAGAGGATGTGTGGGAGGGAGTGCAAGGTAAAACTGGGGAAAACCAGAAACCATGAGACAGCTCCTGAGACAGATTAGACTGTTTCCAAAGTGTGGTTAGAACATGAATACATTAAATAATAAATAAAACCTTCGTTCCACTAAGTGAACTAAATGTTGTATTTTTATGTAACTTAATCATCTTCATAATGCTCTTGGAGAGATAGACAGTATTAACATTTATAGACTGAGAAACTGAGATATCAAAGTCAGGTAATTACACGAGATGTGGTTCCTATATATTATTTTTTAATTTCAAAAACTATCTCAAATATACAGAAATTTTTTTTTCCTAATTGATTTAATAGTAAGTTACCCACTGCCCCATCATTTCTGTATATTTAGTGCCTTTGTTTTTTTGTCTTAACAAACAAGGACATGCACCTACATAGCTGTAATATAGCTATCAAAACCAGGAAGTTAACATTGATCCATTATTACCATGTAATTCCCAGATCCCATTTAAAGTTTCACCAGTTGCACCAATAATGCCCTTCATGGCAAAAGGATCAATTTCAGGATTACCCATTGCTTTTAGTATCCTGTCTATTTAGGTTCCTATAGCCTGGGACAGATCCTTAGTCTTTCCTTGACTTTTATGACCCAGAGGTGAAAGGCCAAATGTTTTGTAGAATGTCCTTAAACTTGGGTTTATCTGAGGTTTCCTTGTGATTGAATTCAGGTTAGACATCTTTGATGGGACTGTCATAGAACTGATGCTGTGTTCTAATTGCATCTTATCAGGTGACTTATGATTTCTGTTTGTCCCATTATTGATGCTGTTACTTTGATCACTTGATTAAGGTGGTGTCTGCCTGGCTTCTCCAGTGTGAAATTTCTTTTCTTCTTTGTAATATTTTGTGGGGAAGTAACTTTAAGACTATGTAACTGTTTCATTTCTTTTCTTTTCTTTTGAGACAGGGTCTGGCTCTGTTGCCCAGCCTAAAGTGCAGTGGTGCAATCACACCTTACTTCCTGCCTTGACCTCCCGGGCTCAAGGGATCTTCTCACTTTAGTCTCCCAAGTAGCTGGTTCCACAGGCATGTACCACTATGCCCAGCTAATTTATTTTTATTTATTTTTTTTTATTTTATTTATTTTATTTTTTTGAGATGGAGTCTTGCTCCGTCACCCAGGCTGGAGTGCAATGGTGCGATCTCAGCTCACTGCAACCTCCGTCTCCCTGGTTCAAGCGATTCTTTTGCCTCAGCCTCCCAAGTAGCTGGGATTACAGGCACGTGCTACCATGCCTGGCTAATTTTTGTATTTTTAGTAGTGACGGGGTTTCACCATATTGGCCAGGCTGGTCTCGATCTCCTGACCTCGTGATCTGCCTGCCTCAGCCTCCCAAACTGCTGGGATTACAGGCATGAGCCACTGCACCTGGCCTATTTTTATTTTTTAAATTTTTGTGGAGACAGTGTCTTGCCATGTTGCCCAGGCTGGTCTTGAACTCTCGGATTTAGGAGATCCTCCTGCCTTAGCCTTCCAAAGTGCTGGGATTACAGGTATGAGCCACCATGCCAGGCCACCTATTTTTTTTATCACACTTTAAGTTTATTCATTTATATCAGTGTGTAGTCACCATTTCCTAATAAATTATAATCTTTTACTTCCCTTTCAAGCTGGCTTCTGTTCTCTTTTGACAAGTTCTTATAATTCTTTGAGCATGTCTAGCTGACACAAGATGTTCTAGGCTCATCTTGTTCTTCCCTACCCTGTTACTAGAATCAGCGATTTCTCCAAGAGCCCTGGTTTCTTAGTGGAAAAGGGTGTATACAAACCAAGATCTGTCTGCTAAGTATGATCAAAGGTTGTTTCTCCTTTCAGGCTTTCTTGGTGAACAAAGGTAGGGAATATATTCATACACACGTACACATTTACATGTTGTCTCTCTCTCTAAAAGTCATGAATTGTTCATACTGACATATCCACTTCTGATCTTACCACAGGATTCATTCCAGTTTTCTCCCTTGCCCCATTTGTAACTTCTTTTCCTGAAAATGAGAAACCTGGTTCCTTTATCCCTAACTTACTTACTTAGTCAATCCTGCTCTGTGTAACCAGTCTCCCATTGCTGCTGCTCCCTCCCTCTGTGCAGATGTCCTATACACTTGGGCCCTGCCTGACATCCTGTGCTGCAGTGACTGCCACATGGACACACCCTCCTCACTTGGCTTGCACTTGGTTCTCTTTTTAAGTGTGACACATCTACAAGGACTAGACTTCGCTTATAATTTGGGTGAAGCTTTGCAAAGAGCAAAAGTTCTTATTGAGGTCTTGCCTATCTCCTTTAACCTTAAATTGCATTTTTTTGGTCAGTCCTTCTATCTAATTAATTTTCTTTTTGTTTGTTTTGTCCTTAACTACTATAGTGATGAATATATTTACCTGTGGGTATTGATTCTCATATCAATGGTTATGCACATTATTATTAGACAGCTCGTGATATGTTACATAAATGTTATATGTAGTACTTTTTAAGGTATAAGTAGTAAAGCCATATGTTTCTACAACAACATAAAATGCAAAGATGTTAGACCCTGCTTAAAAGTCCCATGTGTCTGCCTGTGATCCTCATGATTATGGATTGCATGGAGTCTGTAATCATATCAGAGTGCCCAATAGAACTAGACTATCACAAAATTTATGATTCTCTGATTTTAAAATTATATCAAAGAGATCACCATTAGTGATTTAGTTTCTTTTGTGTTTGTTATTCCTTAGAAAGGTCTTTTTTTTCTTTGAAAAATGCATGAGGTTTGAAAGTTACTACTTAAGGCCGGGCTCGATGGCTCACACCTGTAATCCCAGGAGGGATTTGGAAGGCCGAGGCGGGTGGATCACCCGAGGTCAGGAGTTCAAGACCAGCCTGGCCAACATGGCGAAACCCCGTCTCTACTAAAAACACAAAAAATTAGCCGGGTATAGTGGCAGTGCTGAGATCACTCCATTGCACTCCAGCCTGGGCAACAAAAGCGAAACTCCATCTCAAAAAAAAAAAAAAAAAAAAAAAAAAAAAAGTAAGTTACTACTTAAGATCATGCTGATATTCTAAAGATAACAATAACAGAGTTTCCTACCTGCCCGAGCTATGTTCCCGTGGAGATCCTTCTTCAAAAACAAGTCACTTTGTTGGACAATAGAACTTCCTGAATGTTTTTTATTCTATGCGCTTACCCTAATTTATAGGAAGCTACGTAAATGTGGACACTCTGTGAACAATTGTTTAATGACTCCCAAGGTTCTGACTGATTAAAAAGCATGCTGACTTTAAAGTTCTTTTTCTTCTTTACATTTCCTTTTGTTAAGTCTATTCTACTGAAGTAACTCTTCTGGAAGCCATCCTGTTTCACTATTATTTTTCAGTGATTTGGGAAACAGTTGTATAGGAAAAAAATTTATGTCTTTGCCTGTGGTACATAGAAATTTTTGTGGAATTCTCATTGCCAGTAAGTACCAGACAGAATTCAGATATCATCTCTCAATCGTAATGAATCTAGTGGTCAGTGTTGCAGCCATCAGTGGGCAGATAACTGTTCCTCCAAAAGCAAGTTAATGCATTCATTTGTCTATGAATGAATTTTTGATAGACAATATTTAAATATTGGTAGACAAGTAGGAAGCTACTGAAGAAGTGATTAATCTGAGTGTAGGTATATCAATTTGTAAATGCAGTTACACTGCAAAGTAATACAACTGGCTGAATTGGTTAGATTTACACAAAAAGTAAAGCTTCAGTGATCACATGGTAGGTGAATGATTTTATTTGAGCATTCTCCTTGCTTTGAATTCTAGTCTACTGTTGTCCTTTGAACCCTATGACTCTTAATAGCCAAGAGTGTATTATGGTAAAGAATAAGTGGGGCGCAGTGGCTCACGTCTGTAATCCCAGCACTTTGGGAGGCCGAAGCAGGAAGATCATGTGAGTGAGCCCAGGAGTTCAAGACCAGCCTGGGCAACATACAGATACTCTGTCTCTTCAAGAAATGAAAAAATTAGCTGGGCATGGTGGTGCATGCCTCTAGTCCCAGTTACTCAGCAGGCTGAGGTGGGAGATGGCTTGAGCCTAGCAGGTCGAGGGTGCAATGAGCAGTGATTGTGCCACTGCACTCCAGCCTGGGCAACAGAGTGAGATTCTGTCTCAAAAAATGAGAATGCACTAGATACACAATTTTATTGAACTTTCTATTATAGAAAATTTCAAACTTATGCAAAGTAAAGACTAGTATGACCCCCATTTACCCATCATCCAGCTTTGATAATTATTAACACATCCAAATAGTTTTATGTAATAAAGATTTATAAAACGTGTGTGTGTATATATATCTATATTATATATATATTTTATATATATATTATATATATATATATATATAATATAGATATATATATATTTTTTTTTTTTTAAATGTAGAGCCTCACTCTGTTGCCCAGGCTGGAGCAGAGTGGCACAGTCTTGGCTCACTGCAGACTCCACCTCCTGGGTTTAAGCAATTCTTGTGTCTCAGCCTCCCGAGTAGCTGGGATCACAGGTATGCGCCATCATGCCTGACTAATTTTTGTATTTTTAGTAGAGATGGGGTTTTGCCATGTTGGCCAGACTGGTGTCGAACTCCTGGCCTCAAGTGATCCACCTGCCTCGGCATCCCAAAGTGCTGGGATTACAGGTGTGAGCCACTGCACCCAGCCTAGGATCTCTTAATTTATCATTAGTCCTGGATAAGAACTCCAGTTTGGCTGATAAATTTTGTGTGCTCATCCTACAGAGAAGCAAAATGGTGTTCAGACAGATAATTAACTTGCCCAACTTGCTTAGAAGAAGCCTAACTTGGGCTCATTGTTTCAGGCTTTCAAAAACTTTTTTCTATAATTATTATCATACTTTATTTTTTAGATTTTCATTTATCTCATTCTTTAGATTGAGGAGGGAAGGCTCACACCTGTTGTATTTACTAATCCACACCCAGTACCTAACTGAACAACTGATGTATAGAGTTCATTAAATATTTGTTGAATGAATGGATCAAAACTATCTTTATATTAGGAGTCTGATTTGCATCTAAAAATATTTTAGGTGGTGTTATTTATTTCCTTCTCATCAAGAATAATTCCACGGTTTTCTTTGTAAGTGGACTCTTGCCACCAGGGAAAGATTGTGGACTCGATTTCTGTGAGTGTTTAGCTGTTAATAAAAAGCCCCAACTGAAGATAAAATGTGAAATGATTAAAAAAAAAAAGGTTTATTTCCTAACCTGGTAGCCAGTTATTAAATTCCTGATAGCATTGAGGAGAAATAGGCACACTGATAACGAGACATGAGAGACAAGTTCTCTGTGTTCCAGGAGCAGAGCAATGTTCTTTTCTCTAACATTCACACTGGATGAGTAATATGGGAGTGACTTGAAGGAATGAGCATTTGTACCGCATGCAAGGGTTTTTACTCTTTCTAGTACCTTCATTAAGGGATTAGCCTTTCGTTCTTTGAAATGCAAAATCTCAGTTGCCCAAAAAGCAGAGTGGAAATGAGCAGCATCCTCTCTTCCTTAAGAGAAGTGGTCTTTCTTCTGTCACTTAAGACATTTTCCTATAGTTGAGGATTTTATAGCAAAGAGAATTTTTTAAACCAAGTTACTGGTTAAAAACTTTTTGTTGTTGTTGTTGGTCTTAATTTCATAGGCACATAGGTTAGGGCCAATCACTAGTCTTTTCTAAGCTTTTATTTTTTAAAAATCGCTAATGCTTTAAAATACTGTCAATGTGATAGGTCCCAGCTGCTGATTCCTTCATACTAAATGATTGTTTTAAGTAAGTTTTGATTCCTGTTTGTCTTTGATTGTAGTAGTTTTGTTTTACTTTTAAAAATTAAATTCAATAGGATCATAAAGCATGCTTTTGACCAAATATTTTGCTGGTATCTTAAATTGACCGCAGTACAATTTAGAGTCTCAGAACATTTTCTTTTAAGTTGCCTTTTTTCATCCTCAGTGTTCTTGTTCTGACAGTGTATCCTGTGATTTTTAAATTTTTCTTCCTTTCTGGGTGAAGTGACAGAATTTTAAAGTGTTTTTTGAAACATCTGGTGATCTAAATACAGTTTGGGGGAGCTTTGACCTACTTAGAATGGTTCTTTGTGCCAGAGAGCATGTTTATTCCCAAGGTAACTCTGCTATGGAATTGCCCATGTGAATGCATTGAGACTTGCAACTTGCCAGATCTTTTATTATACAAACACAATGAAGCAGCAGGCAGCCAAGAAGAAACGAGGAAGATTGCATTGTTCTTGTACTTCCTTGAATTAAGAAGTTTATTCATCTCAGTATTTTCTACAAATTTCTTTGACAATAACATTGTGAATGAGGATTTAGCAGCAACAGTTGATTGCATGTGTGTTCATTGTCAGTATGTTTGCTCTATTGAAACACCTTTATGCATTTTGTTCAGTAGATTATACTTATACATAAAATTTTTTATTTATATTTAGAGCCTTTTTAGACATATGGCTGTATCATGAAGTATAGTAGTATATTCCTTTTAGATAGTTTATTTTAAAATACCAGGATAATTGTATTTAAACATATAGTATAGATTTTGGAATATTATATTCCATTTCTGTGATAGCAGAATATCTATGCCATTTCTTTTATCTCCTCAAGGTTGGATCATTTGCAGTAGACTTTCCCTAATCAGTTCAGTATTTTAACGTACAAAGGTATTTACCCAAAAACTAGAAAATAGAGTCCCTTAAGATAATAAGCAGGACATGTTCTGTGCAGCTTTTATGAAGACTCAAATTTGAGGGTATGTGATTTTTGTTAAAATTAAAGACTTTTTGTGAAATAGAGGTGTTTTTATGTACCTTTGGCCTCTAGGAGGCAGCATGATCTAGTCTAAGATTTCTGTATCCTGAATCAGGAAACTTAGTCCTCTGTCATTTTAAGAACTTCCATGTATGAAAATATTTGCCTTCTGAATCATAAAGTTATGCTATAAATGAATTAAATAATAGCAGATAGTCACAGAGTTCTAGACTAGATTGTTATCCTGTTATTTTCTTTGTGAATACTTAAAAAGCAAAAGGAATTATTGTGATTGCTGTAGTAGTAGCATAACAATAGAAAAAGTAATCATTTCAGTGGACGAGTGCACTTTCAGTTTGCAGACCACTAGTCTCCATCCAACCTTCTCAGCTGTTGTGTAAAACCCTGCAAGCATTACTGTCATTAACAGCTGAAGATATCTTTTTCTAGCTGATGTTTTTGCTAAAATAGTATGTCAAGTGTTTATTTAAAGATAACTTCAATAAAATCTTGGCAAATATTATAGCTCTCCTATAGTTATTACTAAAAGCTATCTAAAATTGCTTGAAATTCAGGAGATACCTTGTGCCCATTTTTTCACTGTAATAGTGTATACTTTTGCTATGTGATTAGAATGTACCCATGTGACTATTGCCATAATTTGTGGCTGCAGGGGAACAGAGACTAGGCATGTATTTGTAAGGGGACAGTGGATGAACAGTTACCCTTTAGTCAATCTATTTTTCTTTACTTCTTTCTGTTTTCATAGCACCTGAGTAATTTCTATTTAGTGGCTCACATGAGACTACTGTAGTAAAAGGATACTACCCCTTGGTTGTTGGAATTGCCAGCTTTGGGAGAATTTATTCTGCTCAAAACTCAAAGATAGGTTCAGAAAGCAAAGTAACTCGTGGGAGGATTTATCCATAATCTTATTAATGAGATTGATGCTGCCAAATATTATCATTAATTTAATTTTGGATCTGTTTTGATCAAAATGTTATAAAGTTCAGGTCATGCCCTCATGCCCTAGAATGTACTTAATCTAGAAATACTTGACCAAAGTAGTCAAAAGCTATACTGAAAGAATTGATAAATGTTTAGAAAAATTAGAGCTGCTGTATATTTCTAAATAATTCCAGTAGATCCTCTTCCACAAAAAGATGCAGTCCTTTTTAAAGGAACAAATAACCTGCCGTTTTCTTGTTTGAGTGGTCTGTGACTTCCATCTCCCCTTTTGTATTTGAAACATAAAGGTCTTCAGTCAGCTAATGAGCTGGGCTTCTTTTGCTTTTTCTGTAAATGCTTATTTGAATGTGCATTGTTTCTGTGTTGACAGGATGATATTTGGGACAAAATGAAAATGCGAGAACAGGAACTGGTGTATCCTATTCTAAGCTCTGTAATGAGCAGGAGTGGACTTGATGAAGGGATTGAGTTATTTGAAAACCTCTAGATTTTAAAAAGCAGAATAAGGCTTCTATCCTCAGTTTTTTATTTATTTCTACATTATGTCATTAGAAAGTTTCTTATAAGCAAATACATAATTTCTACCAAGAAAAACAGTGAAGTTTTAAGTATTCCATTTTAACATTGTTTATAATTTTTTTTTTAACTAGAAATCAGAGATACATATGTGAGACATTTTATAGTTTAGCATAAGTGTGCCTTGGCTTGTTTTTGTCCATTAACTTAGTTCAGGACTGTAACACTTGAAATAATAATGCCTAAAGATGTCATGATCTTAAGACGAGGAACTGTAGTTACTAGATTTTCCTTACTATTTACCACTGTGTTTATTTTGGAACTAGCTTATCTTATGCATGCCACAAGTATATGTCACAAATACACTGCAGTGTGCAAGGAAAATTTTAATATCTAATTGCTAGGGTCTTTTGCAAGAAAAGACAGTTTGTCCTTGGTTTATTAAATTAGTATGGAATAACATGTACTGTTAACAGTGTTTATTGAGCTTCTGAGATGTCTTCAGTGGACTCAGAATACAAGGATTGCTTTCTGTGGGTGTGTGTAAATGTGTAAATAAATGTTTACTGGACTCTTACTAAAATGATCAGTTTATCAGGTACTATTAAAAATATTACATGGTTATTTGTGCCTGGAACAGTATGTAGCATATAAAAATAGAATGCAAATTGCAGTGGAAACCAGAAACAGAGTCCCTAGGGCTGAAAGGGACCTTGGAGAGTATCTGGTGCCTTGATCTTCTAGCTCTGCTCTAAGGAGCTTGGGTGTGGAGTTCTGCTACTGAAATTAAATAATTAAATAATTAATAATTAATGACAGGATTGTTTTCTTTTAATTAGGTAACATAATTTCCTCATTTATGATTTTTCACTTTTTTTTTTTAATTTTCATTATTTTCTACCATTTCTCTGCTTGGGAGTACGAGCCTGAATTCAAAGTGAAATAACAGGTACAAATGAATACAGATTAAGAGGGAAACCTCAAACAGCCAATTTTTTTTGTAGCCTTGTATGCTGGTAGCTGTGATTTTTTCTTTGTTTTTCTTTTTTTTTTTCCTATTTGAGACAAGGTCTCATTCTGTTGCCTAGGCTGAAGTTCAGTACTGTGATCATTGCTCACTGCAGTCTTGACCTCCCTGGGCTCAGGTGATCTTCCCACCTCAGCCTCCTGAGTAATTGGGACTACAAGTGTACGCCACCATGCTCATTTTTGTGTCTTTTGTGTTTTTTTTGTAGAGACAGGATTTTGCCATGTTGCCCAGGCTGCTCTTGAACTGGGCTGAAGTGATCCTCCTGCCTTGGCCTCCCAAAGTGCTGAGATTACAGGCCTGAGCCAACGTGCCCAGGCTGATTTTTTAAATTTCTAATATATATAATATGGTTGAATTTTCCATTCATAAGATATCCCCTGTGTGTGATAGAACTGAACTTAGCTGGTAAATCAATATTTTATTTTATCCCACTGAAACGTGTTATGCAAAGATCATCGTTTGTTAATTTCAAGTGCTCCATCGCCCATAACAATTATTGGAACTAGTGATTTGGTCCAGTAATCTCTTTTACTAATTAGGCCCAGAGAGATTGACTTTCTTAAGGTTACTTGACAAATTAGTGATAGGGTCCAGGTTGTATTCTGTGGCTTATAACTTTACATTCATTGTTCTAGATTTAACAGCAATACTTCACGGGTACAACTGAATTTGGAGGGAGTTTTTGTTTTAGGAAGCATTCACCCATTCTGTAGGGATACAATCCTCATTTTTACCAAAGAGGAAACAGGCTCATAGAGTTTAAAGGATTTGCCTAAAGTTTTTCTAAAGTTTCTCCAATAGTTAGAAAAGAAGCCAGGTCTTTTCATTGGAATTATCAATCCTTTCCTCATGTAACTGGCTATTGGTAGGAGGAAAATTATCAACAGGAGTGATGATACCTTCAGAAATCTCTTGAGTCAACAACTTATTAGAATTAATAATTTTGAAGTATTTAGACAGCAGGAAGAGTTGGGCCAGCAAAGATTATTAATTTGGTTGGCAAATTGTGTTTATTTGGGATGTTTGACACTGCTTTTTTTTTTTTTTTTTTTTGAGACAGAGTCTCTCGCTCTATCACCCAGGCTGGAATCCATCGATACACTCTCTGCTCACTGCAACCTCCACCTCCCAGGTTCAAGCGATTCTCATGCCTCAGCCTCCCAACTAGCTGGGGTTACAGGTGTGCGCCACCACGCCTGGCTAATTTTTGTATTTTTAGTAGAGATGGGGTCTTGCCATGTTGGCCAGGCTGGTCTCTAACTCATGGCCTCAAGTGATCCACCACCTTGACCTCCCAAAGCGCTGGGATTATAGGCATGAGCTACTGTGTCTGGCCAGACACTGCTATTTATAAGGATCATAAAATGTAAATTTAAGGCACTCAAAGATGCTTCTGCATTTGGATTTATCTCCTTCAAAAATAAAGATTTGATTCTTTTGTGCTATTCCTGAAATAAAAATACAAATAAAATAAAAACTTAAAAAAGATTTGAAAAAGAAATGTATTTAAAAATCTAAAAGTGTTTACAAGTAGATTTTCTTTTTTTTTTTTCTAAATTTCTAGACAGGGCCTCACTCTGTTGTCCAGTCTGGAGTGCATGGCATGATGACAGCTCACTGCAGCCTCCATTTCCTGGGCTCAAGCAATCCTCTGGCCTCAGCCTCCTCAGTAGCTAGGACTACAGGCATACGGCACTGCATCTGGCTGATTTTTTTTGTTTTTTTTTGTTTTTGGAGAGACGTGGTCTCATGTTTCCCAGGCTGGTCTCTAATTTCCTGACTCAAGTGATCCCCCCACCTCAGCCTCCCAAAGTGTTGGGATTATAGGCATGAGCCACCATGCTTAGCCTACTTGATTATTATTATTTAGGGAGACGAGGCCTTTACAGTCACAAATAAAATCAGAAGTATCACAGAGATTCTTTGAAGTCTGAATTTACATCCACTGTTATTATGTATGAACTTTACCTGACATTTTATCATGCCTTGAGATATTAACTAGTATTGTGAAGCCAATATTTAAAACTACTTTTCATTTTATCTTTGTGTCATCTTATTAAAAGTGCTGTTTTTGGCCAGACATGGTGGCTCACGCCTGTAATCCGAGGACTTTGAGAAGTCGAGGCGGGAGGTTTGCTTGAGCCCAGGAGTTCGAGACCAGCCTGGGCAACATAGTGAGACTTTGGCTTTACTAACAAAAATAAAATAATTAGCCACTGGTGGTGGTGCGTGCCCGTAGCACCAGCTACTTGGGAGGCTGATGCTTGAGGTTGGAGGATACAAGGCTGCAGTGAGCTGTGATCGTACCACTGCACTCCAGCCTGGGCGACAGTGAGACCCGGTCTCAAAAAAAAAAAAAGAAGAAGAAAAAGCTATTTTTGAGTATTTTATAATATAATAGTAGAGTAGTACATGTATAGAATTTATAAGTGGACATATCCTGGAGTGGAGAGTCAAAAAGTCAATGGATTGCATGATGAAAACTTGAAACAACTTAGAGAAAGATGCTGGAAAACTAAGGCAAAGAAAGATTGGTCATTTGAGGATTGGTTTAGATTCTAGTAGGTACCAGTGATTATATGATTTCCTTTGCATATGTTATGTGACATGATGTTAACAATAATCTTCTGAAATAAATATTGCCATTTTATAGTCAGCAAGACTGAGGCTCAGAAAAGTGTAATAACCTGCCCATGCGCACAATCACTGTATTGCAGATTCTGTATTTCAGCCTCAGTCTTCTACCTAAACTCTTTCTACATACTGTTTCTATTGAATTAACTGGGCATTTGAAAATGCCATTAGCTGAGATAAAGAATACAAGTAACTGATATTCTCCAGATTACTAGTTGAATTTTTTATAAGGATGTATTTGTACTAACCCTACTTGAGACATCTTATACATATATGATGTGTGCTGGTTGTATCTGTGGTCCATAACTTATTCATCATGTTGAAAGTTAATATTGATTCTTCTAAGTTTGTGTTTTATAACAGAATATTCGGTTATGACAAATTATTTTTCCTTTGGGAAAATATCATATTTTAAATTAAGATAACGCACAAAAAACCATAATAACTATTTAAGCAATTAAAACTGGTATAAATACAAAATTTTCTGATTTTTCTTTTTCACCCTTTTCAGATGAGAGTTTTCATGGTCCTGTATGATTCATGATATCACCAAGCTCTAGTAACAGAAGTGTTGATTGAAATGATTTCTTCAGTCTTAGGAGCTCACATGTTATAGAAAAATACCACAATGCTTAAGAGGCTTTTACCTGAAGAGATTAGTAGTAACATTTCCATTTATTCATCTTTTTTTCTACTTCTTTTGACATGTTTTTGCCAGGTAGTTTATTTAATGTGAATTTAGCAGAAGTGGAATTTGAATCCACGTATTTGCACAGAGCACTGAAAGCTCCCTTAAAGCAAACAGAAGAAGGCTTCCAGGGAGAATTTCAAGAATGTTGTACATTTTAAAAATATAAGTCTCTGCTGTGCTCTGTTCCCACAGTTTATGCCCTTTGCCTTGTGACTGTTATCCTTTCTTTTCATCTTTGCATCAGTTTGTTTGTTTTTGTTTTTTAGATGGAGTCTTGCTCTGTCGCCGAGGCTGGAGTGCAGTGCCGCGATCTCAGCTTACTGCTACCTCTGCCTCCTGGGTTCAAGCAATTCTCCTGCCTCAGCCTCCCGAGTAGCTGGGATTACGGGTGCCCGCCACCACGCCAGGCTAATTTTTATGTTTTTAGTAGAGACGGGCTTTCACCATCTTGGCCATGCTGGTCTTGAACTTCTGACCTCGTGATCCACCCGCCTCAGCCTCCCAAAGTGCCAGGATTACAGGCATGAGCCACCGCGCCTGGCTTTTGTAACAGTTTTAACCATGACCTTTTAAGTTATGGATTTAGTTTGGTTTCTGCATAATATCAGGTGGTTTATAGCAAGTAAACACTGTATATCTGTAATTGGAAAGTTGGTGGGAAGATTACTTTTCCATTCTTGATGTGGCAGCCTTAAGTGCCATCACAGCTTGTTCTGTGGTTTGCCTTTTTTTTGCAGTGACCTCAGCTCACTGCAACCTCCACCTCCCTGGTTCAAGCAATTCCCCTTCTTCAGCCTCCCAAGTAGCTGGGATTTCTGGTGCATGCTACCAGGCCTGGCTAATTTTTTTTTGTATTTTTAGTATAGACAGGGTTTCATCATGTTGGCCAGACTGGCCTCAAACTCCTGACCTCAGGCAATCTGCCCACCTCAGCCTCCCAAAGTGCTGGGATTATAGGTGTGAGCCACTGCGCCCAGCCGACTTTCAAATTTTTTAACCACAGCCCAGTGTAACACTGTGTGTATGTGTGTGAGTGTGCTTGTATGTGTGTTTGAAATAAAATTTTTCATGTGCTTATACATTCTGATTTTTTTTTATCAGAACCACTAATGAGATGAGACCATAGTTTGTAAAACCTCATGCCTTAGAGAAAAAGATAAGAAGACATTTTCTTTTTAGGTTTATTTTTCTGTCTTAACTGAAGACCTTCCAGGCTGGCAATATCCAAGGGCCAGATTCAAAGTGAGAAGGTTATATACCTCTTGAAATATGTAAGGTTGGATGATTAGACCTTGATGCTTAAAATAGTGCTTTCAGGGCAGTGAAATTTTCATCAGCTCACCCCACATTTACTTGTGCCATTGCCGTAATATAAAAGCAGTGAGAACAACAAGAAAATGCAGTGTAAGTACTGTACATCATGGCAAATATTCTTGCTAAAACTTCTGCTCACCCTGTATTTCTTTTGTGGGGGGATTTTAAGCTAATTTCTTGCAATTTTTAGATCAGTGGGCTTGTGTTAACTCACATCACTTAGAGAATACACTTGATACAACTTTAGAAATTCAAGTGGGAGCTCTTGAATGAAAACTGCTGCCTCAGATGCTGACTGAACTGGGCAACCAGTGTTGAACAGGTGCCTTCTTGTTTATAACTTGGTGTGTATGATCTCACTTGCCTCCTCATAGGTAGCTGTGAGACAAGATGGAATTTTCTTCTTTATTCAAAACAATAACCATTACCGAAAAACAAGCAAACAAAATCCAAGAGCTGAGATAGCTTGTTCTAAGTCACATGCGACTAGTAGAAAAGAGTAAAACTTCAACCCAGATGTGGATTTCATATTGAAGATCTTAAAACAAAAACCCCTTCACTATGTAATTAAGAATGTCAAGAGTCACCTTTGTTGTGGATTAAAATACCAACTTTTGGGGCAACAGATTAGGTTACAGTATAATGCAATAAAGTATCATTCAGTTTTCATTGTTTAAAGGTAAATAACGTATTCTTCTTGACTTTGAGCTTCAGATATCTAAAATGCCTTCATTTGGAGAAACATTGATACAGTCCCCACAAATATATATTTTTTAACTCTGTGCAATGAACATGGAAGCCTGGGTAAATGTCCCTGTTTTATGATGTGTCTTCACTGTTTTTGTTCTTGGAAGCCTGTGAAATAGGGGGAGCAGGTGGTGCCATTATTGGCAAACCTGAGGTTGCCCCAAGAAACTTAGGCTCCAAGTTTCTTTTAACTTTTGTGTGAGAATTGAAATGAGAACTCAGGCTTTCTGACCACTGCCCACTTCTTTGAAGAAGCATTAGTCCATGTGGGCAGAAAATGAAATGTTGTGGTTAAAGACAAGAGATAAAAAATGGCAGAAGAAGATTTATTTGCTATTTATTTGCTACTTGGATTTAGAATGTAGCCTTGTGAAGACTTTGTCAGTGTTGTATAAAGTGATCCCATGAAGAAAGAATTCAGTAAAATTCTAAATTTAGAAGACACTGATTTCACGTAGCCACTAAGTAGACAACTCAGTAGGTAGAAATATTCTTTAAAATTCTGATTTCCTTTAGGCCCCAAGTTTCTTTTAATGTTTGCTAAGCACTTATTTGCATGTGTCCCAGTGAAACGTTATGTATGTACATACTGGATTAGTCATGTTTTTGTTTTTTTGTTTGTTTGTTTGAGACAGAATCTCACTCTGTCGCCAAGGCTAGTGTGCACTGGTGCAATCTCAGCTCGCTGCAACCTCCCTCTTCCTGGGTCAAGCAGTTCTCCTGCCTCAGCCTCCCAAGTAGCTGGGACTACAGGCGCGCACCACTTCGCCCGGCTAATTTTTTCTGTTTTAGTAGAGACAGGGTTTCACCGTGTTGCCCAGGCTGGTCTCGAACTCCTGAGCTCCAGCAATCCGCCCACCTCGGTCTCCCAAAGTGCTAGGATTACAGACGTGAGCCATTGCGCCCGGCCTAGTCATGTTTTATAATTGTTTTTGGCCCCAACCACCTGAAGTTTGATTCCACAAGGGATTAAAGAAAAAGGACAAATGCACATAGGGTATTTATAGTATATGCTCATTGAAAGGCTGATTGAATAATAATAGAAGAATAAGAATGGATAAAATTTATTGAGAGCTTCTATGTACTAGGTAGTATTCAAGGTGTTTTATGCATTTTATCTCAGAAAATCTTGTCTGAAGATAGATGCTATTAATTACTCCAATTTTTATAGATGAAGAAACCAAAGCAGAAAGAATACAAGTTAATATTAAGGGTCATAGTTTCATAAATGATAGAGCAAGTGTAATGTGACTTACATCCTGTGCTTCTAAGAACTATGTTATGCTGGTCCCTTATAATAGACATTAAACTAAGAGTTACTAGAAAATGGGTCCTAATCATAATTTTATCATTAAAGTTCGAGCTTGTACAAGTCACTTAATCTCTTTTTTTGTTTCGTCATCCTAAACTGTGCTGTTCTACCTACAACTCCAGTTTGTGATTAAATTGTGATGTAATAGGGATTAAAGCCAGAGAAGAGTAGTGGCTATAGGCTAGGATACATTATGGAAATTAGAGGAACAGGAGGAGTAAAAACAATAGAAAGTGTTAAAAAATGCAGTTGACTTTTGAACAGCTTTGGGGTTGGGGCAGTGACCCCTGTTGAGCTGAAAATTCACATATAACTTTTGACTACCCCAAAATTTAATTTACTAATAGCCTACTATTGACCAGAAGCCTTACTGATAACATAAACAGTCGATTAATACATATTTTGTATGTTTTATATATATATATAATATACTGTTTTCTTCCTTGTCTTAAGAAATTGCCATAGCCCCCCCAGCCCTCACCTTTAACAGCCACCACCCTCATCAGTCAGCCGCCATTAACATCAAAGAAAGAGGCTGGGTGCGGTGGCTCACACCTGTAATCCCAGCACTTTGGGAGGCTGAGGCGGGCAGATCACGAGGTCAAGAGATGGAGACCATCCCGGCCAACATGGTAAAACCCCGTCTCTACTGAAAATACAAAAATTAGCTGGGCGTGGTGGCGCACACCTGTAGTCCCAGCTACTCGGGAGGCTGAGGCAGGAGAATCGCTTGAACCCAGGAGGCAGAGGTTGCAGTGAGCTGAGATCGCGCCACTGCGCTCCAGCCTGGCGACAGAGCAAGACAACGTCTTAAAAAAAAAAAAAATCAAAGAAAGACCCTCCATTAGCAGAAAGAGTATTACTTACTGAAGACTTAGATGATCGTTGTATTTTTTAGCAAC
Source organism: Homo sapiens (assembly GCF_000001405.40). Taxonomy (NCBI): domain Eukaryota; kingdom Metazoa; phylum Chordata; class Mammalia; order Primates; family Hominidae; genus Homo; species Homo sapiens. The sequence continues at coordinate 32,465,757 of NC_000012.12, forward strand.
AAAGTGTGTGTGTGTGTATTTGTGCATTTGTTTGTTTTTTGAGACAGGATCTTGCTCTGTAACCCAAACTGTAATGCAGTGGTGCAGTCACTGGTCACTGCAACGTTAGCTTCCTGGTCTCAAGTGATCCTTCTGCCTCAGCCTCTCAAGCAGCTGGGACCACAGTCATACGCCACCATGCGTGGCTACTTTTTAAATTTTTGTAGTGATGGTGTCTTGCTATGTTGCTCAGGCTGGTGTTGAACTCCTGGCCTCAAGCAATCCTCCCACCTCGGCCTCCCAAAGTGTTGGGATTATAGGCGTGAGCTACTGTACCCAGCCTAAAGTATATTTTAATTAAGGATGTCGATTGTTTTTTAAAATATAATGGTATTGCACATTTGCCAAACTACAGTGTATTGTAAACATAACTTTAACTTTTATATGTACTAGGAAATGAAAAAAGTTTGCGACTAGCTTTGAGATATTCACTTTGTTTTGGTGGTCTGGAACTGAACCTGCAGTATCTCTGAGTGTGCCTGTACATATACATATAAAAAATTGTATCATAAGGAATTAACTCATGAGATTATGGAGGCTGACAAGTCCAAATCTGCAGTGGGGTTGGCAGGCTCAAGTCCCAGGACAGCCAATGATGCAAAACAAGTCCAAAGGCCATTTGCTGGGGAATTTGCTCTTGCTTGGGAGGCTGGTCTCTGTTCTGTTCAGGCCTTTAACTGATTGGATGAGGACCACTCACCTTATGGAGGGCAGTCTGCTTTGCTCAAAGCTCACTGATTTAATGTTATCCAAAATACCTTCCAACTTGACATATAAAATTAGCAATCATGGCCGGGCGCGGTGGCTCACAGCTGAAATTCTAGCACTTTGGGAGGCTGAGGTGGGTGGATTGCTTGAGGCCAGGAGTTCGAAACCAGCCTGGCCAATATGGCGTAACCCTGTCTCTACTAAAGATACAAAAATCAGCCAGGCGTGGTGGCGCATGCTTGTAATCCCAGATACTCGGGAGGCTGAAACAGGAAAATCACTTGAAGATGGGAATGGGAGGTTGCAGTGAGCCAAGATGGCGTCACTGCACTCCAGCCTGGGCAACACAGCGAGAGTCTGTCTCAAAAAAAAAAAAAAAAAAAAAAAAATTAGCAATTACACCTCCTACGGAATGTGGTACAGGCAAGGCCTTTTTAGAGGGCATCAGCCTTCACCACCCTACTCCCAGAGCTTCTCTCCAAGCCCAGCATTTTTAGCTACATTTTTATTGCACATATATTTTATTAGGTAGAAATATATTTTATTAAGTAAAAATTCTAAAACCTATTTGAACCAAATAAAAATAGGCAAGAAAGCATCCTATTGTGAAACAGTTACAAATGCAAAGAATTTAGGAGAGTGGTGAGTTAAGAGGATGTGGGTAGAGTTTATTATAATTGTGTGGATTGTCACCTGTCATGAGGATTACAGTTTGGTAAAAGAAAAATAAACCCTTTTTTCATTTTGAGCCTGGAATATATGTTACTATACACGGTGCAATAAGGGCCTTATTAGATCTACAGGAAAATTCTGTCTCCATTCTAAGGGAGAGTGGCTTGTGGGACCTTAGGAACCCTGGCTCTACTACCCAACCATTGGACAAGTCTTACCTCTTTTGGATGCTGCTAACTCTTCAGAAGAATTCCTTGTGGTGGTATATAACTTGTTGGTTGAAGAATAAATAAATAAAACGTAATTAAAGTCTATATAGCAGCTACTGTTTAACCATATTGTCTCATATAAACCTTGAAAGGAGCTAATAAAGTGGAGGGCATAGTTATATTACTGCTCTTACAGAAACAGCAACCACAATTTTAAGTCTTCTAGTCAGTGTAGGACAGTGTTTTATACATAGGTGCTTAATATAAATATTTGATTTAAAACCAATCTTGTATTTTTTTAATTGTTTTCTTTCTTCCCTTCCACTGGTCTTCTTTAATTTTAACTTTTGGCCGGGCTTGGTGGCTCACGCCTGTAATCCCAGCACTTTGGGAGGCCAAGGCGGGCAGATCACCTGAGGTCAAGAGTTTGAGACCAGCCTGGCCAACGTGGTGAAACCCTGTCTCTACTAAAAATACAAAAATAAGCCGAGAGTTGTGGTGGGTGCCTGTAATCCCAGCTACTCGGGAGGCTGAGGCAGGAGAATTGCTTGAACCCGGGAGGTGGAGGTTGCAGTGAGCCGAAATCACGCCATTGCACTCCAGGCTGGGCAACAGAGCGAGACTCCATCTCAAAAAAAATTTTTTTTAATTTTTATTTAATTATAATTTTTTTTCTAAGTTGGGGTGTTGCCCTGTCACCCAGGCTGGAGTGCAGTAGCACCCTCTTGGCTCACTGCAACCTCAAACTCTTGGACTCAAGCATTCCTCCCACCTCAGCCTTCCAAGTAGCTGGGAACTACAGGTGTGCCTCACTATGCCCAGCCACTGCTTAACTCTGATTTTATCCTCAATCATTGTCTACTGTATGATGAATGCTGTATTTTTTTTTTTTTTAATTCTAGAGAGGAAACCTTTCTGTAGTGTAACTTGCAAAAGAGTTGGTGTTTTTCTTTCTCAGTGATCTCTTACAGCAAATGTTCATTAATTAAAAATAGCTGACCGACACAGGAAACAGCTCATGTAGCAGCTTATGATGTTGTTCTAAAAACAGACTTGAGCTCTCGAGTGCTAGAGAAGCATGAATATTGAAAACATTGCAAACAAATTCAGGTAAAAGTATGGTGTGTTCTAAGAAGGATCTGTGTGCCTTTACGTTAATATTTTTTCTGATTATAAAAGTCGTGTGCTTACTGTTAAAAAGATATTATAGGCCTGGGCGCAGTGGCTCATGCCTGTAAACCCAGCACTTTGGGAGGCTGAGGCAGGCAGATGGCTTGAGTCCAGGAGGTTGAGGCTGCAGTGAGCTATGATCGCCCAACTGTACTGCAGCCTGAGCAACAGAATGAGACCCTGTCAAAGGAAGAAAAGATATTGTAACCATGTATTTTGTAGAAAGTGAAGTTCTCACCCAAGTTATAGCATTGATTTATTCTGGTGGTTTCTTTTTTTGTTGTTTTTTTGAGACGGAGTCTCACTCTGTCACCCAGGCTGGAGTGCAATGGCACGATCTCAGCTCACTGCAACCTCCGCCTCCGAGTTCAAGCGATTTTCCTGCCTCAGCCTCCCGAGTAGCTGGGATTACAGGCGCCTGCCACCACACCTAGCAAATTTTTGTATTTTTAGTAGAGACGGGGTTTCACCATGTTGGCCAGGCTGGTCTCGAACTCCTGACCTCAGATGATCCACCCTTATCAGCCTCCCAAAATGCTGGGGTTATAGGCATGAGCCATTGCGCCCGGCCTATTCTGGTGGTTTCTATCGGATTTTTAAAATACATACGCAAACAGTATATACTTATTGTTTAAATGGAATTATACTATTTATTCAACTTGTTTTTTTATTTATATATACTAGAAATTTTCCACAGAAATCTTTTAAAATTCCCTAATTTGTTATCTTTTATTTATTTATTGAGACAGAGTCTTGCTCTGTCGCCCAGGCTGGAGTGCAGTGGCGCAATCTCGGCTCACTGCAACCTCTGCCTCCTGGGTTCAAGGAATTCTCCTGCCTCAGCCTCCCAAGTAGCTGGGACTACAGGTGTGTGCCACCATGCCTGGATAATTTTTTTGTATTTTTAGTAGAAACAGGATTTCACCATGTTAGCCAGGCTGGTCTCAAACTCCTGACCTCAGGCAGTCTACCCGCCTCAGCCTCCCAAAGTGCTGGGATTACAGGCGTGAGCCACCACGTCCGGCCATTTGCTATCTTTTTAAAGACAACATAGTATTTCACTCTATACCTAGACTACAGTTTGTTTAAACCAATTTTCTTTTTCTTCTTTGTTTTTTTTTTGAGACGGAGTTTTGCTCTTGTTGCCCAGGCTGGAGTGCAATGGCATAATCTCGACTCATCGCAACCTCTGCCTCCCAGGTTCAAGCAATTCTCCTGCTTTAGCCTCCCGAGTAGCTGGGATTACAGGCATGCGGCACCATGCCTGGCTAATTTTGTATTTTTAGTAGATATGGGGTTTCTCCATGTTGGTCAGGCTGGTCTTGAACTCCCAACTTCAGATGATCTTCCCGCCTCGGCCTCCCAAAGTGCTGGGATTACAAGCATGAGCCACTGTGCCTGGCCTAACCAATTTTCTATTAATAGACTTGTGGGTTGATAATATTTTATTTAAAAACTTTTTTTTCCCTGAAAGTCACCATTTTTAGAGCAGATACACTTGTCATTGAACAAATATGTAGTAATTTAATAGTATAATATATTCACATTTTACTATGTGTCTGGCAGTTTTCTAAGAATTATCCTGTGCGAATTAGAATAATTCTACAACCTTATGAGGGAGTTGCTATACCTCTTCCAGAGTTTCAGAAAGCCTCCAAGTTCCATATATGCCATCTCGACCCTCCATAAGATGGACCAAAAGACAGGGTGATTGGATCAGACATGTGAGGACTCCTAAATCCAAAGGAGCAGGCATAAGGCAGCAGCTGCCTCAGTACAAAAAAGCAGAGCTTACAAGTTTTTGCTGGAAGTATTGATGCCGAAGTATTCTCTCGTTGCCATGACAGGTTTCAGAAGAACTGCTTTCTTAATCCTTCTGACTGCTTCGAAGTTTTCTTTTTTCTTTTTCTTTTTTTTTTTTTTTTTTGAGTTGCAGTCTTGCTCTGTTGCCTAGGCTGGAGTGCAGTGGCATGATCTTGGCTCATTGCTCCTGGGTTCAAGCGATTCTTCTGCTTCAGCCTCCCTAGTAGCTGGGAGCACAGGTGCACACCACTACACCTGGGTAATTTTTGTATTTTTGGTAGAGAGAGGGTTTTTCCATGTTGGCCATGCTGGTCTCGAACTCCTGACCTCAGGTAATCCGGCCTCCTCAGCCTCCCAAAGTGCTGGGATTACAGGCGTGAGCCGCTGCGCCCGGCCTGCTTTGAAGGTTTCCTTGTCTCTTCCCACCAATTGTTTGGTGCCTGTGTAGTCCTTGCTGACTTCCACATTCTCTTGTGAATTTACTTGATACACAGGGCTTTGCCTTAGATTGGGCTGTATTCTGGTCTGCCATCAAGAGATGTCAGCTAATGCTGACATGTCCCATCCTTGGGTGTTCTTTCTTGATGGCCTCCATAGCTGTTTGTTGTTTTCTGTTGAAAATGGAAACTTGAAATATTTGTTATTAATGGCTTAGACCCTGTGATGGTTAATTTTAGATGTTTCTCTTTCTCTGTCTTTCCATTCTTCTCCTGTCCTTGGACATCGGAACCCCAGGTTCTTTGGCCTTTGGACTAATTAGGGGCCTGCCAACCTTCCCCCCAACCCCCACACCAAGCTCTCAGGTCTTTGGCCTCAGACTGAGAATTACATCATTGCCTTCCTTGGTTCTGAGGCTTTTGGGCTTCAACTGAGCCAGGCACTGGCATCCCTGGGCCTCCAGCTTGCAGATGGCCAGTTATGGGACTTCTGGGCCTCCATAATCACATGAGCCAATTTCCCTAGTGAATTCCCTCTCATCCATCCGTATCTCTCTCTATCTGATCTATATCCTATTTGTTATGTGTCTCTGGAGAACCCTGACTAATATGTACTGTAGAAAAGCCTCCTGAGACTTAGACGCTATGTTTCCTTTGTTTAAATGTTGTTGAATTGATCATAGGTATAATGCATTAGATTTTTCAGAAGAAAGAAAAGGTTTATTCCACATTACATCTCTTCAGAAGCCTACCCAAAGGGGATATCTGTTTTGGCTATTTATTGCAGTGTAATAAACTACTCTAAAGCTTAGTAGCTTCAATTAGTGATTTATTATGTCTCATGATTCAGTGGGCTGACCAAGCTGTTCTTCTGGTTCATGTGGTGTTGGCTAGGTGCTGGAATGGCTGTGTTCCTCTGAGACTTGGATGGGTGCTCAGCTGGGACCCGGTGGCTGCTTGGGTCACTTGTGGAGTGGTATCTGGATTCCAACAGGGAGGCAGTGGATGCTACCCACACAGTTAAGGACTAGGCCCAGAACCAGCACAGCATCATTTCTGCCATGTGTTAATGGTCAAGGCAGTAATAGGCCCAGCCTACATCAGTGTGGGAAGTGACTAAACAAAAATGTAAACACCTAGACATGTGGTTCATTGGGGATGATCACCAAAATAACCACTGACCAGAGTGTGCTCTCTGGCCCTTCACACATGCACGATAGAGCAGCCCATACAAGTCTCACTCACTCCATTACTACATCAGCTTGACAGGTCTAGGATCTCATCCTCTACATCAGGTCCAGGTGAGGCTCCCTGTGAGAGGTGACAGTGTGCTGGCAGTCCTCAGAGCCCTCGCTTGCTCTCGGCACCTCCCCTGCCTGGGCTCCCACTTTGGTGGCATTTGAGGAGCCCTTCAGCCCCCCACTGCACTGTGGGAGCCCCTTTCTGGGCTGGCCAAGGCCGGAGCCCACTCCCTCAGCTTGCAGGGAGGTGTGGAGGGAGAGGCACGAGCGGGAACCAGGGCTGCGTGTGGCGCTTGCGGGCCAGCTGGAGTTCCGGGTGGGCGTGGGCTTGGTGGGCCCCGCACTCGGAGCAGCCAGCCAGCCCTGCTGGCCCCGGGCAATGGGGGACTTAGCACCCGGGCCAGTGGCTGCGGAGGGTGTACTGGGTCCCCCAGCAGTGCTGGCCCACCGGTGCTGCGCTCAATTTCTCGCTGGGCCTTGGCTGCCTTTCCACGGGGCAGGGCTCGGGACCTGCAGCCCGCCATGCCTGAGCCTCCCACCCACTCCATGGGCTCCTGTGTGGCCCAAGCCTCCCGGACGAGCACCACCCCCTGCTCCACGGCGCCCAGTCCCATCGATCACCCAAGGGCTGAGGAATGCGAGTGCGGGGCGCAGGACTGGCAGGCAGCTCCACCTGCAGCCCCGGTGCGGGATCCACTAGGTGAAGCCAGCTGGGCTCCTGAGTCTGGTGGGGACGTGGAGAGTCTTTATATCTAGCTCAGGGATTGTAAATACACCAATCAGCATCCCGTGTTTAGCTCAAGGTTTGTGAGTGCACCAATCGACACTGTATCTAGCTGCTCTGGTGAGGACGTGGAGAACCTTTATGTGTAGCTCAAGGATTGTAAATATACCAATCGGCACTCTGTATCTAGCTCAAGGTTTGTAAACACACCAATCAGCACCCTGTGTTTAGCTCAAGGTTTGTAAATGCACCAATCGACACTCTGTATCTAGCTGCTCTGGTGGGGCCTTGGAGAACCTGTGTGTCCAAACTCTGTATCTAACTAATCTGTTGGGGACGTGGAGAACCTTTGTATCTAGCTCAGGGATTGTAAACGCACCAATCAGCACCCTGACAAAACAGGCCACTGGGCTCTACCAATCAGCAGGATGTGGGTGGGGCCAGATAAGAGAATAAAAGCAGGCTGCCCGAGCCAGCATTGGCAACCTGCTCGTGTCCCCTTCCACACTGTGGAAGTTTTGTTCTTTTGCTCTTTGCAATAACTCTTGCTACTGCTCACTTTTTGGGTCCATGCTGCTTTTATGAGCTGTAACACTCACCGCGAAGATCTGCAGCTTCACTCCTGAGTCCAGCGAGCCCAGGAGCCCACTGGGGGGAAGGAACAACTCCAGACGCGCCGCCTTAAAAGCTGTAACACTCACCGCAAAGGTCTGCAGCTTCACTCCTGAGCCAGCGAGACCACGAACCCACCAGAAGGAAGAAACTCCGAACACATCTGAACATCAGAAGGGACAGACTCCAGACGCGCCACCTTAAGAGCTGTAACACTCACCGCGAGGGTCTGCGGCTTCATTCTTGAAGTCAGACCAAGAACCCACCAATTCCGGACACACCTGGGTGCAGCTCATCTCAAACTGAAGACCTATGAATTAAAAGCACACGTTATTTTCCGTTCTTCCCCACTTTCCACCCCAACATATAATGGTAAGGCAGGGACAGGAAAATTACATCAGATATTCCTCTTCAAAAAGATATTAGGAGCTGTGGACCGGGCGCGGTGGCTCATGCCTGTAATCCCAGCACTTTGGGAGGCTGAGGCGGGCAGATAACGAGGTCAGGAGATCGAGACCATCATGGCTAACATGGTGAAACCCTGTCTCTACTAAAAAATACAAAAACTTAGCCGAGCATGGTGGTGGGCGCCTGTAGTCCCAGCTACTCGGGAGGCTGAGGCAGGAGAACGGCGTGAACCCAGGAGGCAGAGGTTGCAGTGAGCTGAGAGCGCGCCACTGCACTCCAGCCTGGGTGACAGTGCGAGACTCTGTCTCAAAAAAAAAAAACAAAAAGTATTCGGGGCTGTGGAGAAATCAGAGCCCTGACACACTGCTGGTAGAAATGTAAAATGGTACAGTTGCTTTGGAAAACAGTCTGGGTAGTTCTTTGAAGGTTAAACATAGAGTTGCCATATGACCCAGCAATTCTGTACCTAGACATATACTCAAAAGCAATGAAACCATAGTTCCACAGAAAACCTTGTACATGAATGTTTATAGTTGCAATATAATAGCCAAAAGGTGGAAACAACTCAAATGTCCAGCTGATGAATAGGTAAATAAAAAGTGATATGCCTGTATACTGGCATTCTTTTGGCTGTACGAAAGAATAAAGTACTCCTACCTACAACATGGATGAATCTTAAAAATGTACTAAGTGAAAGAATCCAGTCACAAAAGACCATGTGTTGTATGCTTCCATGTATATGAAATGTCCCAAAGAGCCAAATCTATAGACAGAAAGATTAGCGTTGCTTAGGCTGGGAGGGCTGGAATGGGGGAAGGTGATAGCTAAAAGGTATACGGTTCTTTTTGGGTTGGGAGAGGTGGCTCATGCCTGTAATCCCAGCACCTTGGGAGGCCAAGGTGGGTTGATTGCTTGAATCCAGGAGTTTGAGAATAGCCTGGACAACATGGCGAAATTTCTACAAAAAATACAAAAATTTGCCAGGCATGGTGTCGTGTGCCTGTAGTCCCAGCTACTCGGAGGCTGAGGCAAGAGGATCGCTTGAGCCCAGGAGGTTGAGGCTGCGGTGAGCCGTGATTGCACCCCTGTACTCCAGCCTGGGTGACAAAGCCAGACCCTATCTCCAAATTAAAAACAAATTTATTTTTGGTGTGATGAAAAGGTCTAAAATTGATGGCGGGTATATGTATCTGTGAATATAGTAAAAACCTTGCCATTGTAAACTTATTTAAACAGAAAAAAGCAGCAGATGTGACTGGGAGGCACATGACCTTCACTGGTGCATAGCATTTCTGACATTTAGCTCGATCTATATCCTTGTTGAGGAACTAGTTCACTACCTGGGTGCCTCTCTTTGGCCCTCATCTCCATCCCCTAGGCTCTTGGCTGTCTTCTGATTCTTTTCCACAAGAAATGGCCTGTGTTTTTTGGCGTCTTCCTGTCCGAGTAGGGTGCTAGTATTTTTCATTTTTAACTGGCTCTATTAGTCCAAGCTGATGGTGTTTCCACTGGTATATTTCTCTGAAATGCCTTTTGGGTTTTACCATAGATGTCTTAGGGGTTCACAACATTAGGTAAAAAATACTCCCACAAATCGTTTTAAGATAGGGCTTTCTTTACCTTGGATGCCTTTGTATCAGACTGTCATGTGAAAATAACCTTTTATTGTCAAAAGCTCTACTGTCTGGTTTAGTTGGTACTCAAAGCACCCACTTAAGATTCTTTAAAGCCTTTTGGTCTAGTTATGTGATTCCAAAAGCACGGGTGTCTGTACCAGCAGCATTTGTATCACCTGGGAACTTACAGTTGAAGTCTCCATCCCAGACTTTCTAGATGAAAAACTGTGATGATCCAGCCCAGAAATCTAGGTTTTAATAAAATCTCCGGGTGAGTCTGATGCATACGAAGTTTTAGAACCACTGGTCTAAGAGAAAGTCCATGAGCAACCACCTAACATCTTCATGAGGTCTCAAAAAAGGATCTTACCACCACATCCTAGAGGCTCTACTTTACTGCTAGCACTGGATTTGATCTTTGCCCTAAGGCCATTTCTTATTTTGAGTGGTTTTAAGCTTAGTTACTGAAAAGAGGAATTGTTTTATTTTTTAACCCATGAAGTCCAACTTCTTTATATTTCCTCTGAATTCTGCTTAAAAAGGAACCAAACAGTTCCTTTTTAAATTCATGTCACTACTCCTATATTTTATTGTAGGCAGCTAAAAACAAGCCAGTTGGCACTTTTGACATTCTTCTTGGAATTCTCCTTAGTTGGGTGCATGAGTTCATTAGGTACCCTTTCTGTTCTCCATGTTACTGTATGAAACGGGTCTGCTGCTTTTTCTTAGGTCTCCATTTCTTCAGCCACCAGTAACATTTCTATACTGTTTTTCAAATCTTTACCAGCAGTCTTCTAGCTGTTGTCTACCACCTGGACCCAAACCGTACATATTTTGAGTTTTTGTTATAGCAGAGCCTCCTTTCTGATACCAAATTTTGTTTTGGTTATCTATTGTTGCATAATTAATAATTTCAAAATTTAATGGCTTAAAAACAAGTATTTTCTCACGCATGGTCTTGCAATTTGGCCAGAGTTTGGTAGGAATGGCACATCTCTGATCTGTGTGCTGACAGCTCGATTAGATTTATTTCCAAGATACCTTAATTATATGACTGTCGAGTTGGTCCTACCACCTGAGGTTTTAGTTGGAATTGTCAACTGGGACCTTAATTCTCCTCCACGCAGCCCTTTCTGATGCATGTTCTGCTTTGACCTTCTCACAATGTGGCAGCTAGATTCCAAAAAGCAGGAAGCAGAAGTTGCCATGCCTCTAGCTAGGTGCAGGGCTATGTGCCTGTAATACCAGCTACTCAGGAAGCTGAAGTGGATGGATCACTTGAGGCCAGCCTGGGTAGCAGTGAGAACCTGTTTCTAATTAAAAAAACATAAAAGAAGGTGCCTGGCCTCTTAAAGATTAAGCTCGCATTTGGCATACAGTGGAATTTCTGGTCTTTTCTGCTGGACAAAGCAATCATATACCTAGCTCAGATTCAAGGAGGTGGAGAAATAGACCCCATCTCTTAGTGGGGGTAGTGGCAGAAGTTGTGGCTGTCATTAATCCACTGTAATCTGTGAGCTGTTTTTCTTTAACAGTACTGAAAAGACACTCTTGGCTTAAGGTTATGAGTTGGTGAAAAGTAATTGTTTACTACTTGAAAAATGAAGATCTGGCCAGGTGCGTGGCTCATGCCTGTAATTCCAGCACTTTGGGAGGCCAAGGCAGGCGGATCACCTGAGGTAAGGAGTTCAGGACCATCCTGGCCAACATGGCGAAACCCTTTCTCTACTAAAAGTACAAAAATTAGCCGGGCGTGGTGGTGGGTGCCTGTAATCCCAGCTACTCAGGAGGCTGAGACAGGAGAATCGCTTGAACCCAGAAGGCAGAAGTTGTAGTGAGCTGAGATTATGCACTGCACTCCAGCCTAGGTGACTAGAGTGAGACTCCGTCTCAAAAAAAAAAAAACCTTGAAGATCTGGAAGGAGGTAGCAAGAAAACCTTTCCATATAAAGAGCCTCTCTTGATATCAGTTTGTTGAAATTTTATTTTAATATGGAACACTTCACGAATTTGCATGTCATCCTTGTATTCTCTCTGTCATTCCGATTTTAGTATATGTGCTGCCAAAGTAAGCACCATTGGAAGAAATTTTAAATGGTGTATTTCACAGATGGACAGAAGTCATTTTAAGTTCCTTGCCAACAGAGTAACACTCTCCAGCACCATTGGTTGTGTCAAAGTTTGTGTGTGACAGGAAAGTGTGAATGTGTTTATACATCTTGATCTTACCAGTGAACGGTGTATTTTTTTTAAAATAAAGCTTGTCTTATACACTACTAAGTGTAGAGAAAGAGTCCCCTTCCACACACTCCCCTCCTCAAAATAGAACCAGATGCTCTTTAAGAGTTGTGAACAATGAAAGGCATAATCTGGATGCATTGTAGAAATGATTGTGGTAAACCAAAGAAGGAATAATGGGATGACAGAAGCCCAGGGCTTTCTATCACTTGGAACTTTTGTGGTGCAGCTGTTTGTAGATTGGTAGGAGACGACAAAACAGATGGCAGCAGAGGTTGCCTCTGCCTTTGCTCATTCACTCGAGTCATCTATTAGGTTTGCTCAGACAGGATAGTAAATGGCTTCCTGAATTTGTGAAGCACTTAGGCTAGTAAATTTCTCCATATCTAATTTGGAGTTCTGTTTAGAAAAAAAATATCAAATTAATGCCCTGTGACAACAGTGATTCAACAGAGTTTATATCCATCTTTCATAGGATCTGATTAGTATTAAGTCTTTGACCTTTATTTTCTTTTTTATCGTATTGTTGTACTTTTGATTTAATGCTTTTGTTTCTGGTTATACATTTTCTTGATAGCATCAGTAAGTTGTTGGTAAGTATTGAAATAACTTAAATATTTTTCTTCAATGTGATTGTGTTTTTTAATGAGACAGAGTCTCACTCTGTTGCTCAGGCTGAAGTGGAGTGCCACGATCTCGGCTTTCACTGCAGCCTCCGTCTCCCAGATTAAAGCAATTGTCACGCCTCATCGTCCTGAATAGCTGAAACTACAGTTGTATGCCACCACACCTGGCTAATGTTTTGTATTTTTTGTACAGATGGGGTTTCACCATGTTGGCCAAGCTGGTCTTGAACTCCTGACCTCAGGTGATCTGCCCACCTTGGCCTCGCAAAGTGCTGGGCTTACAGATGTGAGCCGTTGTGCCTGGCTTCTTGTTAAGTATTGAAATAACTTGAATATTTTTCTTCAATATGATTGTGAAAATATTTGGGATAGCACAAGCTTCCCTTAGTTGCTTGTAGTTTTACTTTCCCACACCTGAGTAGTTTGCAAGTGTGATTGACTTTGTGCTTCCTCCTTTTTCTCTCTTTGTTCTTCCATTTATGTTTTAATCTTCCGTCCTCCTCATACCTTACCAAGTCTGGTTGAGTAACATATTTAGGAATGATCTTATGGGTAGTGTGGTTGAGGCATGATCACAATTATGATCCGTGGCATATGAATCTGCATGAAGAATCCTTCCAGCTCCTTCTGGATATTCTCCATCCCAGTGTCAAACTTCCATGGCACGATACCATTACCAACCATTTCAGCAACGATGCCCACACTGTTGGTTTCTAGAGATTATTTACTTCTGTATCTGCCCAACTTATAACTCCGTTTGCTTTGGGATATGCTAGATACTTATTAATCTGTCAAGTAATTATTGTATGTGAACTAGTAAAATGTTAACTAGGAGATACAGAGGTGAACAGGAAATGTTCACTGTAATTGGCTCCTTGGTCTTCAGTCTTCACAATTTTTCACAGTCAGATTTGAAAGCTGAATGTAGTTTTCTGAAGGCTTGGAGTACATACTTGTGCTATTTGAGGAGGTCTCTGAGTTTTTTTGGTGCTCTTGCCTCACAACTATACTTAATCATATTTAATAGGACCTTGTTTCATTTCCTATTAAATATGACTAAAGTGTAGTCATATAACTAAAGTTTTGTAAAACTTGCTGTGTTCTATTTTATTTTTAATAGAAACGGGGTCTCCCTGTGTTGCCCAGGCTGGTCACAAACTTCTGGCCTTAAGCAGTCATCCTACCTCAGCCTCCCATGAATTCTTACTATTTTAAACTCCTATTGTAAAGAATGTATTCTTGCATATAATTTTTAAATTATCCTTTATTTCCCCTGGGTAGGTACATAACTTTCTGATTATATTCCTTAATTAGCCTAGCAGTGAGAGGTCTGTATTTTCACAGACCTCTCACTGCTAGGCTAATTAAATTTAATCCTCTAAAGATTTTTTCATACATTTCACTTTTTCCTGTAGTTTTAGTAAATTGTCCAAATAGTTATATTCGTTTACTATTTAACAGAATTTATTTTTTCCACTTGACCTTCTCTGCAGAAATATAAGCAGAAAAATTTATAAAGCATTATTCTTTTTTTTTTTTTTTTTTTTGAGATTGGGTCTCACTCTGTCACCCTGGCTGGAGTTCAGTGGCGCAATCTCGGCTCACTGCAACCTCCACCTCCCAAGTTCAAGTGATTCTCCTGCCTCAGCCTCCCAAGTAACTGGGACCACACATGCGTACCTCCACATCCAGCTAATTTTTTGTATTTTCTTATAGAGACAGGGTCCTTCCATGTTGCTCAGCGTGGTCTCAAAACTCCCAGGCTCAAGTGATCTGCCTGCCTCAGCCTTCCAAAGTGCTGAGATTACAGACATGAACCACTACGCCCTGCCTGTAAAGTCTGTTTTTCAGCATATTCTGCTTATTTGCCCCAAATGGATATGTTTGTTTGTGGGGGTTTTTTTTGTTTTTTTTGTTTTGAGACTGAGTCTCGCTCTGTCACCCAGAGCTGGAGTGCCGTGGCATGATCTTGGCTCACTGCAAGCTCCGCCTGCCAGGTTCACACCATTCTCCTGTCTCAGCCTCCCAAGTAGCTGGGATTACAGGTACGTGCCACCATGCCCAGCTAATTTTTTTGTATTTTCAGTAGAGACGGGGTTTCACCGTGTTAGCTAGGATGGTCTCGATCTCTTGTCTTCGTGATCCGCCCACTTCGGCCTCCCAAAGTGCTGAGATTACAGGTGTGAGCCACAACGCCCAACCTGTTTGTTTTTTCTTCTCTTTTTTCTTTTCTTTCTTTCTTTGTTTTTTTCGTTTTTTTGAGACGGAGTCTTACTCTGTCACCAGGCTGGAGTGCAGTGGCGCAATCTCAGCTCACTGCAACCTCCACCTCCCAGGTTGAAGTGATTCTCCTGCCTCAGCCTTCCGAGTAGCTGGGATTACAGGCACGCACCACCATGGCCAGCTAATTTTTGTATTTTTAGTAGAGACGGGGTTTCACCATGTTGGCCAGGATGCTCTTGCTCTCCTGACCTCGTGATCCGCCCTCCTTGGCCCCCCAAAGTGCTGGGATTACAGGCGTGAGCCACCACGCCCGGCCTTTTTTTTTTTTTTTTAAATCTTGAGACAGGATCTTGCTCTATTGCCCAGGCTGGAGTGTTGTGGCACCATTATGGCTCACTACAGCCTTGACGTCCTGGGCTTAAATGATGCTCTCACCTTACATTCTCAAGTAGCTGGGACCATAGGTGTGCATGGCCACACCCGGCCAATGTAAAAATAATTGTGTGTGTATGCATGCTGAGATGGGGTCTCCCTATGTTGCCCGGGCTGGCCTTGAACTCCTGGGCTCAAGCAATCCCCGGCTTGCGGTGAGCTGAGATAGTGCCACTGTACTCCAGCCTGGGTGACAGAGTGAGACTCCGTCTCAAAAAAAAAAAAAAAAAAAAAAAAAAAAAAGCCGGGCGCAGTGGCTCATGCCTGTAATCCCAGTACTTTGGGAGGCCGATGCGGTTGGATCATGAGGTCAGGAGATCAAGACCATCCTGGTTAACATGGTGAAACCCCGTCTCTAGTAAAAATATAAAAATTAGCTGGCCATACAAAAATTAGCTGCCAAATACATTGTGGCAATGCAAGTGTTCTAGTTTTCATATTGTAATATGGTCTTACAAGATGTAATGATCAAAGGAAACTGGGTGAATGGTACACTGGACCTCTCTGTCATATTTTTGCAACTTCCTATGAGTCTGTAAGTATTTCTAAATAAAATGCTAAAAGATATATCCAGACTTTAGACCTATGCCGTCCACTAGCCACAGATTGCTTTAAAAATGAACATCAGCCGGGTGCGGTGGCTCACGCCTGTAATCCCAGCATTTTGGGAAGCTGAGGCGGGTGGATCAGGAGATCAGGGGTTCAAGACCAGCCTGACCAACAAGGTGAAACCCTGTCTCTACTAAAAATATGTAAGTTAGCTGGGTGTGGTGGTGTGCACCTGCAGTCCTAGCTACTTGGGAGGCTGAGGTGGAAGGATCTCTTGAACCTGGGAGGCAGAGGTTGCAGTGAGCCAAGATTGTGCCACTGTACTCCAGCCTGGGTGACAGAGCAAGACTGTCTCAAAAAAAAAAAAAAAAGAACATCTAAGTTAATTGAAATAATTTCAGTTCCTTGATCACACGAACCCATGTTTCAAGTGCTCATGTGGCCACCTTATTATATAGCACAATTATAGAACATTTTCATTATTGCATAAAGTTCAATTGGGCAGTCTGCTTTAAATAAAACCCTCTATAGTAGTGCCAGTTGTCACATGTCTTGGTACCTACACATTTCTTAGAGAACAGTCTCAAATTTACAAATCAAAGTAATTGTCTATACCAGTAAAATTAAATAGAATGGATAAATTAAGCATTTTTTAAAAAAGTGCCGTGACTTTCAAGGCCACATTATATATTTTAATAAACAAAGGAAATGAAATATTTGCTTCATGTTTGAAATAGGAATAAGGTGTTTTTCCTTATCTGCCAAAGCAGTTGCTGTCTTTTTCCATAATCACAATATAGCATATTTAGGAGATGGGAAAAACAGAGACAGATGGGTAGGGAAAAGAGAAATTCTGGCATGAAAAGTATTTTGAATATCCCATGCTTCTTGTTTTCTATTTCTTAGTGACCAGCTTACCAATGGTAGCTTACCATTGAAGAGGAAGTGTGGTTTAGCAACCAGACCTTAAACCAAAATTCTATTTCTGGCTCGAAGTGACCTTGAGGAAGTTACACATATGTTCTTCTCATTTGTACAGCGAATAAGCAAATTAAGATAAAAGCAACTATTGCTGAGCGGACTGTAGGACTGCAAGATATGTTACTCTAAAATGATCCCACTATTCCAGATTATATATAAAATGATTTGCTTACAAGTAGATTAAATACAGAGTTTCCAGGAATTTAGTTATGCAAAGAATCCCATGAGGTAGAAAGAGGAACTTTACCAGGCATAAAAATTTTTAAGTTTTGAGTTTGGGGGGAGAATACAAGAAAACGAAGACATAGGGTAAAAATTTTTATTTCATCCCACGTTAATAATTTTGACAAACTTTGGGAGGATAAGCAGACGTTCTGCACTTTAGAAATCACGTTTTGAAGTTAAATAGTTCAGGATTTGCATTCCAGACCTGCCGTTTACTATCTGGAAAGTTACTTTCTCAGTTATAGATGATGTATAGATGTTCTCAGTTTCAACACCTATTAATGACTTTTTGTTGAGGTTGTTATGAGGAGAGCACATAGCAAGTTAAGTATACAGCTATAATTACTGATAATTTTATCAAGATACGGAATATAATGATGGTGTTAGGAAAATATAAATAGCTTAGTGTATTCTCCTTTTATGAAGCTTTATTTTTAGCCACATGATAATTTTTGTGTGTGTGTGTGGGTAGAATACTAATTTTAGCTTGTAACGAATTGGTTAAAATTGCAGTTCCTATAGCCATTCTGAAATTCAAGCATGTGTGAGTAAATTGATCAGGATCACTTGATTTAAAGCCAGTAGGGATAAATCTGTATTTTGTAAAATCTACAAGGCAGAGAATCTGTGCAGAGAACTCAGAAAAATAGCACAATCACACATCTATGGGTGCAATTTTATTTCAGTGTAATCCCTGCAACATTTTTCTACGGCTAGATCCATATAATCTCTGAATGAATAGTGAAAGGTTTAGTTGATTGTAAAGATACATAAAAATCTACAATGTACAATGCCAAATCATCAGAAAATATTCCATATAACTTTTCTTTTTCTTTGCCCTCCAAACTGCCAAAACATTGAAAAAAGAGGTCAAGAACAAAGGCCAGCATACTCATGAGGATCCTTCTGGCCCTGGTTCACAGTAGCAGTGCAGGACAGTTCCAGTTTTAGCCCATAACTCATTGGCATATGGTCAGTTTGAAGTTTCCTGCAGTACTTTTCTGAGCTAGAGAGAGGGAACCAAAAATGCTGACATCCTCATTTGACATCTTCACTCCAGCCTGTGTAAGTGCCAGCACTTCCTGTGTAAAACCTATCCTGACTGTAGAGGACACACCCAGCCCTTAGCTGACCTGGATGAGGATGATGGCTGGAATTGGTGAGGTTTGGAAAGCATTAGCCCTCAGATGGACACCACCACAGTATATGAACATACTGTGTATTACTATACCTTTCACTTCATAAAGATCAGCTTTTAAAGTTTATGAAAATAACATTTATTGACAGCAAGTGATTGTTGGAGGTAGGTTACTAGCTCTCAAAATCACCACTGCATTACAGTATTATACTAGATGATGGTGTGTTCAAGAAAGAGTTAATTATTTGGATGTATAATACCTTGGAAATTACACCAAAAAAAATCCGTTGGGAGCTCTGAAGTGTGCATATCTTGTCTGCCTCATATAGTATGGCTTTATCTTGACTGCCTTGTCAGTCTTGGCCTCAATTTTCTTATCCATGCAATGGGAGGATTTCTAAATGTCTTAAGACTTTATGATGTTAGTGTGTATTTCTCCAAGTAGTTTTCTTCATGCTTCCACTTGTTGGTTCATAAGCTGCATCAGGTGTGTGTTTTACTATACCCATCAAAATGTCCTCACCTACTCTCAAAGTGCTTTAAGGTAACATACAATTTTTAGTTTGCTATTCCATATAACATAGAAACATAATAATTTTAAGAAGTGATGTTACAAAGTTGAGCTGAGTCTAGGTATTATGGTTTGATTCTGACTACAACATCTGACTATCACATGAAAAGGGACATTTGTGTTATGTAAATGTTGAATTTACATCATGATTAATGTTTAGGTGTTTTAAAACATCTGTTATGTGATAAATTAACTAAAATACCCCTTTTTAGGCTGGGTGCAGTCACTCATGCCTGTAATCCCAGCATTTTCGGAGGCCGAGGTGGGTGGATTACCTGAGGTCAGGAGTTCAAGACCAGCCTGGCCAACATGGTGAAACCCCACCTCTACTAAAAATACAAAAATTAGCCAGACGTGCTGGTGGGCACCTGTAATCCAAGCTACTTGGGAGGCTGAGGCAGGAGAATAGCTTGAACCTGGGAGGCAGAGGTTGCAGTGAGCCAAGATCACACCACTACACTCCAGCCAGGGTGACAGAGGGATACTCTGTCTCAGAAAAAAAACAAAATAAAAATAAAAAATCCCATCTTATTTTTTAAGAAATGGCGCCTCACTCTGTCGCCCAGACTGAGGTATGGTGGTATGATAGTAGCTCACTATGTAACGTCAACCTTCTATGCTCAAGTGATCCTCCTGCCTCAGCCTGTTGAGTAGCTGGGATGACAGGCACATGCCATAACACCCAGCTAATTTTTTAAAATTTATTTTTGTAGAGATGGGGTCTCACCATGTTGCCTAGGTTGGTCTCTAATTTCTGGCCTCAAACATAAAACATTCATTTTAATCCATAATTTTACTTTATAGGCATAACAAGGATGAGAAATTTGCCTATCAATCAGTGCCTTCCTCTTTTAAAAACCTGACTTGTTTTTATATAGAAATTACTTGGGATTGCTAGGTAACCCGCATAACCATTCCTGGAAAAAAATGGAAGGCCCTTTTTTGCTTTTGGGAATATGGAGAGCTTATACACAGTTTCACTATTCAGCATTGCTTGCAGTATTTCTTACAATTTTCTGATGTCTGTCAAAAAGAATCCTCAGATCTTTTAAGACCAATTTTTTTTTTTTTTTTTTTTTTGAGACAGAGACTCGCCCTGTTGCCCAGGCTGGAGTGCAGTGGCGGGATCTGGGCTCACTGCAAGCTCCGCCTCCCAGGTTCACGCTATTCTCTTGCCTCAGCCTCCCGAGCAGCTGGGACTACAGGCGCCTGCCACCACGCCTGGCTAATTTTTTTTTTGTATTTTCAGTAGAGACGAGGTTTCACCATGTTAGCCAGGATGGTCTCGATTTCTTGACCTCGTGACCCACCCGCCTAGGCCTCCCAGAGTGCTGGGATTACAAGTGTGAGCCACTGCGCCTGACCAAGACCTATTTTTAAAGGGAAGTTTGTTATAAGCCTAAATGCCATAAATGTAATAAAGTTACATGTATTTGGCATCATACTTCCTAGTCCACCCCCGGTATTCTAGAGCTCTCTCAGTACATTTTGAAACACCTTCGTGGAATTTTGAAATGCGTTGCTTGCGTAGTTCCTTGAGCCTGCATCACTGCCAGAAGAAGACTTATGAAACAGAACTCTGTACTTCCCATTAGTTAGTTCTTTATCATGTTGAACACTAGATGTGTATGTGTCTAGTGTCTAAATACAGAATGCCTATAGTTTCTACCAACAAATTATGGATCCAAATCCTTGCTCCAGAAGCAGGAAATAGGTTAATCAGAAGATTGCTGGATGTTATGAAAAGAATCTTTTATGGGGGGCTGTGAGTATTGTTTTGCAATTGCCATTTCTGAAATATCTCAGGTTAAAACATTTGGATTTTTTCACTATGCAAAGTATACAATAGATGAGGTCACTGGTATTTCTCTTTGTTTACTGTTAAGTGATAATAATTTGTACCACGATGGAAAAATTATCGTGGATTTTCTTTAGAGTAGTTCAGTGCTGTGGTTTTAGCACAAAGGTGTGCTTTTTCTTATCTTCATGATCCAGGAACAATTACTTGAGGGAATGGCATTTCTCCCTGTGAGTTCATAGCACAGAGTGTTTCCTGAGAGTAGTGGAAGTGAGTAAGTGCAACCACTGTTGACCCTTGTCATCTCAGTCTTTTTTATTATAACCTCTTTCCTTCTACTTTTTTCACTTGTCTTCTTTCTATTTCTAATATTTAAGATTTACACTTTAGCCAGTTTCTTAAAACTTATTTGTGCACCTAATATTTTCTTGGTCATCAATTATTTGGGGATAAAAATTCCCCCTACTTCTAAAACATGAGCAAGGTACATTGGTAATTCTCAGGTTTAAGGATTTCTTGAAATAACATTATCTGATTTATTGGGATCTGAAGTATAGTTGACTTGACTAGGTACTTCTATCATTGTGGCTTAAGTGATCTTGTAGTCTTTTATATTTAACTGAAAAATCATTTTAGGTTGATGTTTTTGTTCAGAGAAACATTTTAAATTTTAAACCAATATTTTTGTTCAGTAGGAAGGAGAAAAAAATAAACATCCAAGTATAAGCTACTGTAACATTTTGAGGTGTTTTTCCTCTTTGTAGCTATTGTTTTGTGAAACTGAGGCTATACTGTTTATGGATTTTGAATTATACTTCTCCCTCTGACCCCCACCATGTATCATTAAATTATTTCAGGCTACTAAAAATTCTCAGGAAATATCCATTTCAGTTGCTCTACACTATTCTGTTACAGGTACCTTAATTAACACATCCACTATTATTAGATATTTAAAATTTTTCTAAATTCTGTTTTATAAATAATCGTGAGAAGAACATGAATTTGTAAGACTGTCTTGCAAGGTGCCTTTGGTGGGGTGGGTCTCATTGTAGTTGTATTCTTGATTTTAAGATAACAATAATAGCTTGACCTTAGATTTGTAAGCACAAACATTGAATTAGGATTTTAAACAAATGTGTTGGGCATATCTTTGTTTAAATTTATGAATATTACCCTTTTTACACTTTTACTTATATGTGACAGGCAGCGATGTGCTTGCAATTTTAAAATTTATATTGTTATTATTTGTTATTATTATTATCATTTTTTAAGAGACAGAGTCTCACTCAGCTTGTTGCCCAAGCTGGAGTATAGTGGTGTGATCTCGGCTCACTGCAACCTCTGCCTCCTGGATTTCAGTGATTGTCGTGCCTCAACCTCCCAAGAATTACAGGTGCATGTCACCACACCTGGCTAATTTTTGTGTTTTTAGTAGAGACGAGGTTTTGCCATGTTGGCCAGGCTGGTCTTGAACTCCGGACCTCAAGTGATCCACCCGCCTTTGCCTCCCAAAATGCTGGGATTACAGGCGTGAGCCACCATGCCCAGCCAATTTATATTATTTATTTATAGAAACAAGATTTTCTCACTGTGTTGCCCAGGTTGGACTTGAACTCCTGGGCTCAAGCAGTCCTCCCGCCTCAGCCTCCCGATAGCTGGGACTATGGGCAAGTTCCACCACACCCGCATTAGCCATTTTAAAAATGTGGATTCCATTGCTTTTTTCAGAGAGACAAAGTGGAATGGAAGCCATAGAACTTATTCAGATAGCTGGACCATTGAGAAAACTAATAGAGGACTTCAACTAAGGCAGGTTCTTCTATGTTCCAAGTCTTGTATGAATGAAAACTAGATCCATGCATAGGAGATAAATCAAGCATGGGCTGTGAAAATGTTGGTAACTGGAAAAACACAAATTCACAAAGCTTTTGGCTAGTTTTTCTTTGTTTTATTAGGTTATCAATTGGCCTGAGATTTTCCCGAATAATTCAGCCACAGGAAAAAAAAAAAAAAGACAGAGAAAAAGCTTTTTGTTTTTTAACATTGTGACATTGTAAAAAGTTTCTGTGTCACAGACTTGCACCAAGATAGTGTACTGACCTTTCTTGTGGAATGAATAGAACTGAGTTTAGAGTACTTTGAGTTACTTATAAATTCTTAAGTGTGCCTTCTATTTAAAACTTACAGTCATAAAGATAATAATAGAAGAGAAATAGCTAGGGTAATATGATTATACGGTCAGAATTTGGAAGTTTGAAGACTTATCTTCAAGTAATTTTAGATTAGAAAACTTGTGGGATTTTTTTTTTTGAATTTGACTTCAAGATCTCAGGGGATTTCTTTTTTTATTGACCCATTATTTGTGTTCCCCCTGTTAGCTTAGATGGTGTGATATAGGCAACAACCTGATTTTTTTTGTTTAAAAATACATTATCTGATTTTTATTAAATCCCAGATATATGTTAATGTTAAAAAATAAGTTGGCTGGGCACGGTGGCTCACGCCTGTAATCCTAGCACTTTAGGAGGCCAAGGTGGGCGGATCATGAGGTCAGGAGTTCGAGACCAGCCTGGCCAACATGGTGAAACCCCGTCTCTACTAAAAATACAAAAATTAGCTGGGCGTGGTGGCGCATGCCTGTAGTCCCAGCTACTCGGGAGGCTGAGGCAGGAGAATCGCTTGAACCCGGGAGGTGGAGGTTGCAGTGAGCCGAGATCGCACCATTGCACTTCCGCCTGGGTGACAGGGCGAGACTCTGTCTCAAAAAAGTAAAAGTGAGATTTCTTACAGAACCTATATTTTATTCTCTATGATAAGTAGTGAATATATTTATTTGTAAGACTAAAAGTAGACTCAGAATTAGTCTGAAAACCACAGTAGTACTGGTTTTTTTTACACCTGTATTTGCCTTCGTTTTCTTTTCTTTGTATTTCATGCATCTCAGCCTCTTCTCTTTTTGTATTTCATGCATCTCAGCCTATGCTTCTCTTCAGTGCGTGCCTGTAGTGCACATAAGTCTTCTAAGGATCAACTTTGTAACTGAACCAACTGGACTCCTGTCCAGGAGTTTATACCCTTCTTGGCATCTCTCCTGCCCATTTGTTTAATCTTTCCAACTCATTTGATCCTCTAGTATTAGAGCTGACAGCTGCAGTTGCATATGGAGTTCATAAAGTAGCTGAATAATAAAATGTCATGACCCAGTTCTTGTATAGTTTCACTGATGACTAAATTGGCAACTCTTTTAATATTGAAATGGGAATGATCAAGCTGTGTACTTTTCTTTGGAAGTTCACGTATATTCAATGAGTACTTTTACCTCCTATGACTTTCCATAGCAGAAATGCTACAGACTTATTTGGCAGGTCAGGTGGAACATTATCTTGATTTTATAATTATCTTGATTTTACAAGAGGAAAGTTTATGTATAAAAGGGGTTGATGATTGATTCTGAGTGATACTGTATCTGCGAACTCCTTGTATAACAGGTGCTTATTGAGCACCTATTAGACACGGTGGTTTGTGTTATATACACATTATTCCTGATCCTGAGAAGAATCTTGTAAGATAGGTGATATGACCCTATTTTTCGTGTGGAGAAAGTAAGCTCAATGAGGTTATTTTATTTATATATTAAAAAAATCAAGACTTTGGCCTATTAAAAACTTTTTTTGTCTTGTTGAGTTGTCTGAGTTCTTCATATATTCTGTATTGTCAGAATTATGAGCCAAACATGTTTTTCTCCTCTAAGGCTTTCTTTTTTATACTTGATATCCTTTGAACAGTGATGTCCAGTTTCAGTCTTTTCCTTTACAGGTAGGTCTCTGTATCCTGTTTAAAAAATTTCGCCTACCTGAAGGTCATAAAGATATTTTCCTATAGTATTTCCAGAAGCTTTACTATTTTGCCTTTCACATTTAGGTCTATGATTCATCTGGAAATGATCTGCATGTATGATGAGAAGTAGGAGTGAAGATTCTTTTTTTGTCCCATTTGGAGTGACTATCCTTTGCCCACTATATTTTAGTGGCAACTTTGTAATTCTACAGTTTTGACTAAAAATTCTGACATTTGACATTTCCAGAATCTAAACTATCTCAGATGCTTTTTGTAGTTTTTCTTAAATTGTCTCAAGCATGGACTGTGTTTTCTATTTTATCTCAGCTAGCATAGTGAGATAAAATAGAAAATATATATTGTAGGAAAAGAGATTTTTATCAGTCTTTTTTTTTTTTTTTTTGAGATAGTCTTGCTCTGTTACCCAGACTGGAGTGCAGTGCTTGGATCTCGGCTCACTGCAACCTCCACCTCCCAGGTTCAAGCGATTATATCCTGCCTCAGCCTCCTGAGTAGCTGGGACTGCAGGTGCCTGCCACCATGCCCGGCTAATTTTTGTATTTTTAGCAAAGACAGGGTTTCACCATATTGGCCAGGCTGGTCTTGAACTCCTGACCTTGTGATCCACCCACCTCGGCCTCCCAAAGTGCTGGGATTACAGGCATGAGCCACCGCGCCTAGACTTATTAGTCTTTTTTAATGGGATGACAGCAGCTGGGATGTATATATTCCTGCAAGGAAAGAAAAGGAAATGGCTTCACATTGCTGGATGGGAGCAGTATGTGTGTTGTTTCTGGGTATAATCTTCCTAGCTGCACTTTTCCCATACATTTCTTTCTACTAAAAATCATGAAAGTTTGAATTATAGTTCCTCTCACAGGATTGAAAGCAAGTATCAGAGGAGTCATCCATTCAAAACACAGTTCTTCCACTGCAGTATCCGATATGTTTTGTATGTGCGCTAGGCTGTCTTTTCATTCAGTCTACAATACAGTTCACCAGTGTGGAGACCTTTTGCCCTGCCTGATTTGTTTTGTTTTGTTTTACTCACTCTTTTCAATGACTTTTGGTTTTGGCCAGTATGAAGAGTAATGGATGTTGGAATACCTTCTGCCAGTTAAAAAAAAAAAAAAAAAACAAAAAACTATAAAATTGGAAAGGTATATAAGCATTATAGGAATATTTAGAAACAAATTATGAAGATGTAAGCTTCCACCTTAAGGAAACAATTAAACTCTAAGTAGAGAGAGAAAAGTTAAATAGCCCTACATGTACTAAAGAAAATGAATTTGCAATTTAAGATCTTCTAGTAAATAGTGCTGTGGTGTTCCCAGCCCAGGAACCACACTTTGACAATCATTGTCTTAGGCTTCTGAGGTCTACAAGCCTCCTTTAATTATCTGTGTGTGGTATAACATTCTTGGTAAATGTTTGTTGAATAGAATTGATTGTATGACATGGTACCAGGTACAGAAAGTCCCTTCCCTTGAAACACCTAATACTTGTTTTTAACCTTTTTTCGTTGGTAAGGAACTTTTGTCCTTCTCTCTAATGCATTTCAGAAAATGTATATTCCTGCTGATATGGGAAAGGTTTCATTTCTTATGTTTGTGAAACTGTATCTGAATAAGAATGCCTCAGGGTTTCCTTGGTACATATACGTCATATACATCATTATAGCCCATCATGAACATTGTGGGCTATAATGTTCCTAGGTATGCTACTTTAACTGAAAATCTTAAATCCTGTTTTATAAGTTAAACCAAAAATAACACTGATCCTCTTTCTAGCAATGGCAATTTGTTATTTTGCTCTGGGGGCAGTGGAAGGGTAGACTGGATTACGTCTCTGCATGCCTTTGCCTTTTCCCTGGCATTATAGTTCCTTCAAATACTGTGTTGTCCATTTTTAAAAGAAAAGAACCAAATTATAGCATCCCAATTGCTTGTTAACATTCATGAGTTTTATCCAGCATGAATCAGTATTCAGCTGATGGTTGAAATTTTTCTAAAGTGAACAGCATTTTGGAGACTATTAAAAGCCTTTTTAGAAAGTCAGATAGTGACTCTGGACAATGAATTAGCTTAACCTGTAGGAGGAAACTGTACATCAGCTGAGAGGTCTTCTTTGAATCAGGTGGCAAGCCTTCTTGGGCAGAGTGTTTATTTAAAGAAACTTGAAATGAATGTATTGACATTTATTGGGCTGTTACAGAAATTAGGTTCATAAACAGTGCCAACCTCTATGAAATAAAAGTTAATTAAGTGGCTTAATTACACATCAAAGTCCCCTTTTAACCCCAACTACCTGGCATGATTGAGAAATATGAAGCAGACTCTTCTGTCAAAATCATTTCATAAAATTTGTTACAGAGTACAATATTCAGAAAAACCCTGATTCTGATATGTGTCACACAATAACTTTCAGAAATGCACCAAAATGCTGATTGTGATTATGTCTACATAGTGGTTTTATAGTGGATTTTAATTTCTTCTTTATATCAAAACAATTGATGTTAGTTGCAACTCATATTTTAAGTATACTTACAAATATGTTCAACAGTGTGTATTTGAAATTGCTATAGTTTATTATAAAAGTGTTAAAGCAGGATGTACAATATGCTGCTTTATAAACATAATATATTTGTGATATATTCATGTGTAGAGGTATATGAATGTATACCAAAATGATGGGAAAAGATATCATCAGGAGTCATCTCTAGATGATGGGAAATAAGCTACGTTGGTTATATTTTTGGTTATTTCTCTTATTTTTTTTTGGTATAAAACCTTAATTCCTAGTTCATAGAGTTTTTTAAAAAGCAATCTCAGCAAGCATGGGAATCAGTATTTCTTCTAGCTTTAGTAAAGGTGAAAAGCTGGTGCTGCCCGCACCTTGGACAGCCTTGCTTTCCAGGAACAGACAGTGAAGGTGGAACAGCCTCTAAGAGAATGTAGTTGGATGCTTATGGACTGGACAGCTATTATGGACACCCAGGCCTGCTGACTCTTTTTCAGTTTTCAAGGTGAAAACTCTGGTCTGAGGTCATTGCATAGGGTTGGGATTTAGATGACTGCCATTTAGGTCACGAGATGTCTGGGTCACAGCCAGGAAGGTGGAAATCTAGCATCAAAGTCACTGGGCAGTCACCGTCCAGCTACCTGGCAATATAGCAGAGAAATAGGGAGATACAGAAAAAAGGGTTTTTGTTTTGTTTTCTTTTCCTTAGTTTTTTAAATGTTTCACCTGATTTCCAGTTTTGCTAAGAATGGACTTCTCTTTCAAGTTTCTTCAGAAAGCATGGAGAAAGTCAGTGACCTCTGCAGGGTCCTCATTGTTTCCCAGGCTGTCACGCCACTTTCCTTTGAGCCCTACTCTGTTGTCCTGGAGAAGGTGTGGTAATCTGATGAGCCAGGGTCATTAGTCCTGAGACACAGGCTTACTGCCTGGCAGCTCATCAGGACTAGAAAGCATTCTTGCTGCTTGACCTGCTTCAGACACTTGCCACCCACCTCCACTCCATTAGCTCAGATGTGTCAGTGACCCAGGTGCACGGTTACTTCCTGAATAACCAACAGTGGTGTAGCCCAGGCTTAGCGTTATCTTCATGCCTAGCCGTTTTTTATTTGTTCTTTCAGCAAAGATTTAATGAGCACCTACTGCATGCCAGACACTGGAGATTTCTTGGTAAACAAGACAAAGCCCCCTGTCCTTATGGATTTTACCTTTTAAGGTAGGAGCCAGAAATTAAAGTGAGTGAAAAAGAAACGTTCAATATAATGTTGGGCAGTGATACCTTAAACAACAAACAAGCCATTGGAATAGATAGAAAGTGACAGAGGTAGGAATAGTACTCCTATTTTCGATAGGGTGGTGGGGAAGGAAACACTCACCTGAGGAAGTGGCGTTCAGCAGATTTGAATGAAGTGCACTGTAGAAACAAGAGGAAGATCTGGAAGAAAATGTCTTAGGTAGAGGGAACTGCAGATGTAAAGGGTCTGAGGCAGGAATGAGCTTTTGTAGTCAAACTTCGTCAGGGAAGTGTTTTCTAAGAGTTGATCTAGCTATGTTGCCCAGGCTGGAGTGCAGTGGTGTGATCAATGCAGCTTCAAATTCCTGTGCTCAGGCAATCCTCCTGCCTCAACCTTGCGAGTAGCTAGGACTACAGGTGTGTGCCACCACACCCAGCTAACTTTTTAATTTTATTTTATTTTATTTTTGTAGAGATGAGATCTCGCTATGTTGTCCAGGCTAGTCTTGAACTCTGGTCTTGCATTTCTCCCTCCTTGGCCTCCCAGAGGTGCTGGGATTTCGCAAAGAACTGTTAAAATACCTACACAGCTGTTCAATGGACCAATTTATGAGGGATGGTGAGGTCTTTTACCCACCTCCAGCCGTATAATCAGTAAAATATTATTTAGTTTGCTTTCTTATTTACAGAGATTAAGAGCTTCTAGCCATTCAGTGGGATTCCATGTCTGAACTGATAATTTTATATTTTAAAAGTGAATTGCTGTGCAGTAATACCTAAACACATTTACTGGTGATACCTGTTTTTATGAACATCTGTTCAGTGAACATTTATTGATCTTACCTGATTGATTGGATGTGATGGAGGAGACAGCAGGACACAGAGTTGCTTAAGTGTTCAGAGTCCTAGAGAATCAGGAGAGTTGGTTGTGAGAAGGCCAGGGAGGAAAGGTCAAGAAAGAGGGCATGGTTGGCACCCAAGAGGGCCCAGGATGCAAGAACTGAACCCAACCTGTGGGTTTGGAGCTGAGATGTCACTGCTGGCCTTACTGGGAGCAGTGCCAGTTGAGTGCTTGGTCTGACAGATGTGGCTGAGGAGTGAATAAGAGGTGAGAAGTGACTAGACCTCCCACCCTTTTGAGAAGCATGAAAGAGCAAGAAAGGAATGAGCATAGACAGCTTGACAGTAATGTGAGTGGAGCCAAGAGGTTTTTTTGTAAGAGGCTTCTGTGTTCTTGTTTTTTCATGTCAGGAAGTCAATTGTTTGTCATTCTGTCTTCACAGAATTAACAGTTGCCCCCACCCCCATTTTTAAACATGTTTAATACTTCTTACAGCTGCATAGTTTCCAGATATTCAAAGAGGTTTCACCTGCATGATCTCATTGATCTTCCTGAGAGGATGGTACCAAATATTATGCCTGTTTATTTCTTAGAGGAAGGCCTCAAAGCTCAGAGATTGTGGCTTAGAAATCACCCTGCTAACAAGTTGTTTTGTCACATACTCTACCTAGCCCAGAGTTTGTGAACCTATATTCACAGCATTAACTAATCATGATTCGCCCCATATTTCACTGGTTATGCTTTGGTTATCTTAGAAAAGAACCCAGGGCATTTATGAGGTAAAACTTGCAGGGCAGATTGCTTTTCAGGGCTGGGCACGGTGGCTCACGCCTGTAATCCCAGCACTTTGGGAGGCTGAGGCGGGCAGATCACGAGGTCAGGAGATCGAGACCATCCTGGCTAACACAGCGAAACCCGTCTCTACTAAAAAATACAGAAAATTAGCCAGGCGTGGTGGCGGGCACCTGTAGTCCCAGCTACTTGGGAGGCTGAGGCAGGAGAATGTTGTGAGCCCGGGAGGCAGAGCTTGCAGTGAGCCGAGATCGCACCACTGCACTCCAGCCTGGGCCACAGAGAGAGACTCTGTTTCAAAAAAAAAAAAAAAAAGAAGCTTTTCAGAATCCCCTCCACTACCTCCTTCCATATCCTCCTGCACACACACATTGATCTCACCCGCCTTGCATATCACTGCTGCATATCTATTTGTGTGCGTGCATGTGTGCACACATGCTTCACCTACCGTGCATACACAGCCTTGCTGCACACAAAACCTCAAATTCAGTTACCTTCAAATGTCATAATTAGATACACCCCAGTCCTAGTCTCAAGGGACCCTTGCCCACAAACCTTGGCCACCCTCTCTTTTTAATACTTTATTCTTTCTGGGGTTTGGGCTTGGGGTAGAAAAGTAAAGTTAGGATTGATTTTAAAAGATCAGATGAGAGGTCATAAATAAATCCCTGGTATCAACAATAAACATTCAACTGATCATTACATTTTTGCTGAATTTGCTTTGTCTCTTCAAAAATGCAACCCTGTAGAACTTGAGTGAAACAGTTTTTGTTTAACTTTGACCTAAAGCTATAGTTGTTTGCATGCTTTGGTCCTTTAGGATATTTTTTGAGCAGCAAGGATTAACCATTCAGCATCGGGTTTTATCAGCACAAAACTTGAATTATCATAGTTTTTATTCTGGCCTGATCTCAGACCAAAAATACGAAGAGAAGGTTCATAATGTTGATAATTTATTAGCTTTTGCAGAATGTCTGTGTGATGTATCTTTGCTGTTTACCTGGTACTATACATCTATTTTATCTTGTTAGCTCCTCTCCCCAACCCCCTACAACAAGAGTTAAAAGTCTTTATTTCTTATACATATCAAAAACTCATCAAGAAAAAGGGGTAGCATATGCTTTTATTGTCTGTGGAGTTTAGAATGGAACTTTGCATATTATAGAAGTCTCATTTATAGAACATTGTTTATTATTAGCCCTTTTCCTATTTTACACTCCACACGTATTTTAGATTTGTTAATGTAATTAATACATAAACATAAATATACATATGTCCTACATATGTCCTTGTAGAGTCTTCACTTTCATATATTTCAGAAATTTTCTTAAGGAAAGAAGAATTAAAATATCTAGATTCCAATTATCTATGAATCACTTTTTGAAAAAAAATATGGATAAGAATTAAGAGTGTGGAAGGCAGGGCCTAGGTGCTTGTGTAATTTCCTCCCACCTTTGTTTTAGAATCGATATTAAGGATTTGGAAGGATAGGGAATATTACTGTAATGAAAACAGTAACAAACAATCTAATGATGTGAATAACTAAATCTCATTATTCTTATTTGACTAAGACACAATTATCTTTCAAATTTTAATTGAAAATATCCCTGGGGCATTGGTAGATCTGGGTGAGTTTTTTGATGGTTGGACTTGAATAGAAAAGGGCTAAAAATATAAGACCTCCTCACATAGACTTTCCTAGTCAATGTTGGTTGTTTTTTTGGCAGTGTATACTTGGGCAAGTCCTGGAACAACAAGTACTTCTCTGAAATGCTAACCACATGAGAGGAATGATGGGCCACTAAAAAAGTTTCCATCAAATTAGGCTTTAGATTCTTAACCTTAACCCCTTGCAAACTGGGCAGAAAAGTTCAATTTATTAATATTTCAATGCATTTTATCTTCCTTATAAAGTACTCTGTACCCTGCAAATACATTTTTGCTCTAAATCACTTTCATGAAACGAATTATAAAAACCCCATTAAATTAAAACAAAAAGTTTCATAGAATATTAACCAAAAATGCAAAATTATTGGTAATATATAGAAAATATCTAAGGAGATACCACCTCTTTATAGATACTGTATTTTGTGGTTTCAATGGTTAGCTCTGCTGTTTAGGCTTTTTGGGTTCACTGATATGTTTGATCCCCGATTAGGAGAGGTAATTTGAGTCTGTTTCATAGTCACAGGCACCGCTAACAATATCTGGTCAATTTATAATACAAACCATTTGTCAAGAAGGAGTTTCGGAAAGCACGGAAAGAGAACATGGAAATACAAGTAAAACCAGTAGCAGAGCTCCTGGCATTTTTACTAAAAGTACATCCTAAATTGTGTGCCGTTGTGCAGGTACAATTGCCATTTCAACTGGTACTTGAACAATACCTCCTGCTCGAGCCTTTCAGTCATGCCACACGTAAGGGTAGTACGCAGATGTATGTTATTTTAAATTTTAATATGCTGTTTCCTTCTGGAAAATAAATGTTTCTTGTCTTTGCTACTTCAGCCTTTTTTCTTCTTCTCGACTCAGTGAGACTCTCCTCTAACGTTTATTCTCATAATTTTAGAGCTGAAGAGACCTTTGGAGATGCTCTAAGCCAGCATCCTCCTTTTGTGACTGAAGAGCACAGGACCAGACAGAGTAAATGGCTTGCCTGTGTCATAGGGCTGGCTAAACAGGAACTAGAGTCTAGGTTTCTGAATTTATAATTAGGGAGTTGTCGTTGGACTTTGTAGAGGCTAAGGGCTTAAACACATAACTCCCAAAATATGTGCCTAGGCGCTTTGGGTATCACTGCCAACTCACAGGGGTGCTGTCTGCAGAGTATTTAAAAATTTCAAGGGAAAAATGGCAACATCTATCAAATACTATGCAAACTCCTACCTCTAGACAGTTCCCTTTTAAAAAATATTTGATTGCAGTATATTTCTATTGATAGAGGCATATTTTTGCAAAGTCGAGGGTTTGGTGGGTACTGTGATAACAAGCTGGTGAAAATGAAAGTGGGAGAGGAAATGAGGTTTGTGATATTTAGTAGGATCCTATGGTATGAGAGGTTGGCAGGGTACACCCACATCCCATTAGTAAGTAGTGGGAGTGATTTAAGAATAGAATAAAAATACTATTTTTTCTTGAAATAATTATTTGTTATATTCTCAAATGGTGCTAAATTGCTGGGTCAAAGGTAGTTATTGGTTTTTTGTTTGTTTGTTTGTTTGTTTGTTTGAGACAGAGTCTCTGTCGCCCAGGCTGGAGTGCAGTGATGCGATCTTGGCTTACTGCAACCACTGCCTCCTGGGTTCAAGCGATTCTCCCACTTCAGCCTCCCAAATACTTGGACCACAGGCGCACACCACCATGCCCAGCTAATTTTTGTATTTTTAGTAGAGACAGGGTTTCACCATGTTGGTCAGGCTGGTCTCGAACTCCTGACCTCGTGATCCGCCTGCCTTGGCCTCCCAAAGTGCTGGGATTACAGGCGTGAGCCACCACACCCAACAGTTATTAGTTTTTTTGTACCAAACCACTTAATCAATGGAACTCTAAGGAATTGCTCCTGCCCCGGGGCACTGTGCAGAAGTTACAGAGATGCTCAGATTTGAAAAGTTTGGGAACCTCTGACTGCCTGGGTAAAACCTCTTACAAAAGGAAAGAGAAAGGAGGAGTAACGGCAAATGGAATTAGGCATATTCAGCTGCGAAGGGAAATGGAACAACATTCCCAAGGTTATTCCATCTCTGCCTAGCTGGCACAATGGCTGCAACAGCAGATATTCAAGGCAAAGTTGCCGCCTGCGCAGTATTTGAGGAAGATAAATTATCAGGCTCCTGCTTCCAAAGCGGTTTTATCTTAAGAACCTTTATGGGGATTGTTGACTGTTGGTCACATGCCCTACCACTTAGGTTTCAGGCCCTATAATTAGATTCCGGGCAGTGTGGTTTGAGGGGATACTATAATGAAGACAATATCAGAACACTTGGAGGTGAACTTGGAGCTCCAGAGGACATTACTATTCCTTACTCACCTTTCATAGATCTGCCTTTATTTTTCTTGTCTGAGTCATTTTTTCCCATGGAGTCAATTCTCTAAAAACTGTGAGCCAATTCTTTTTAGTTTTTTTATTGTCTCACTTGTTTGTAGATCTTCCCAAGAACATGGTGGAGTGAACATTAAAAAATATGTATAAGAGGAGTAAATATATTTTTAGAAGATTATAAAGTTATAATTTGGAAACTGGAGAAAGAAAATAAGTCCAATATTTCTTCCTCACAGGTACTCTGAAAATTCTGAAGCCTAGGTAAGCCTGGCCTTTTGTTCCTGAGAATCTCTTCTCTGCCGGGCAAGGTGGCTCATGCCTGTAATCCCAACATTTTGGGAGGCTGAGGCAGGTGGATCACTTGAGCTCAGGAGTTCGAGACCACCTCTGCCAGCATGGCGAAACTCCGTCTGTACTAAAAATACAAAAAAATTAGCTGGGTGTGGTGGCACATGCCTGTAGTCCCAACTACTTGAGGGGCTGAGGCAGGAGGATTGCTTGAGCCTGAAAGGTTGAGGCTGCAGTGAGCCAAGATCGTGAGCATGGGTGACAAAGTGAGACCCTATCTCCAAGAAAAAAACAAAAAAATCTTGTATATCATTGCAAATGCATACTGTTTATTCGTAGTGGGTATTCAGTTTTGTATTCTGTTTTTCCTCCCACTTCTGGGAGGTGGTGTAGCGCAATGACTTAGATCCAAGCTTTGGTCTCAGACAAATGAGGTTCTCGTTCCAACGGTGAGACCAAGGGCAAAGAGCATAAGTTCTGAATCTCAGCTCTATACCTAAAAAATGAAGATAATAATACCTACTTCATAGGCCCTGTGAGGTTTATATGAAATATTTGTAAAGTGTTTATTATAGTGTCTAGCACATACTAGGGACCAGTAAACAGTACTTGTTAATAGAAACATTTCCCCTTTGCCACATAGTCTTTCTGACCTTATTTTATTTTATTTTTATTTTATTTTATTTTATTTTATTTTATTTTATTTTATTTTATTTTATTTTATTTTGAGACGAAGTCTCACTCTGTTACCCAGGCTGGAGTGCAGTGGCGCAATCTTGGCTCATTGCAACCTCCGCCTCCCAGGTTCAAGAGATTCTCCTGCCTCAGCCTCCCTAGTAGCTGGGACTACAGGCGCCCGCCACCATGCCCGGCTAATTTTTGTATTTTTAGTAGAGACGGGATTTCACCGTGTTAGCCAGGATGGTTTCGAGATCCTGACCTTGTGATCCACCTGCCTCAGCCTCCCAAAGTGCTGGGATTACAGGCGTGACCCACTGTGCCTGGCCATGACCATATTTTAATAACTGCATGATAGTGTGTCAGTTGTGTATACATTAATATTTGCATCACCATTCTTCTAATTCTGGATTCTTAGGTACTTCTAAATTTGCACTAGAATTTTAAAACAGTCTTTAGTCATTCATCAGATTTACTAAATTCACACTATGTTCAAGGACCTTGGCTTGCTGTTGACACAGGGTTCACAGTGGCACTGTCCCTGGTCTTGAGGTGCTCACAGTCTGAAGGAGAGATGTGTACAAATAACTGTGCCCTGTGGTAAACACCATCAGTGTCCAACTTATTGAGAAAGTGTAGAGGAGAGAACAAAAATGTCAGACTCTGCCTAGAGAGCTCAGGGAAGTCAGCCCAGGCTGAAATACAGTGATGCAGTCATGGCTTACTACAGCCTTGGCCTCCTGGGCCCAAGCAATCCTCCCACTTCAGCCTTCTGTGTAGCTGGGACTACAGGTGCGCACCACCACACCTGGCTAATTTTTAAAAAAATTTTCTGTGGAGATAGGGTCTCACTGTGTTGCTCAGGCTGGTGTCAATAATGGACATTTTGAGTGCCTATAGTTTATATTTTCTAGATTTATAGTTTACCTCTAATAGTTGGTTTTTATGTGGTATATTTGGTTTTCAGCCAATTTTATCTTCCAAGGACTTAACCTCTGATTCCTTCATGAGGACCAGGGTGTGGGCAACTGTTCCTGCAGAATCAGTATTTAACCTTCACATGGTGAAACAGATTAAACTCAGTACATAGTATAAAATTAAGATATTTTAATCCTGTAACTGGGTAAGACTCTAGATGAAAATTTTAAATCCAGCACCGCCTCTCCCCACAAAGTTCAATTAACACGGTAAAAATGAATGTATGTTTGCCCAGAAATTATTATTTTATAACACAATTGATTTTTGAAAACTTTATTTTCAAACTAACATTTTTTCCAAATTTGAGTATTATATTTGTTTTAAAAAATCCTTATAAAAGCAGTTTCAGTTCTGATGTGGATTGCAAATCATAAAACAACTTGCTGATGAAGCTTAGATTTCTAGAATGCTTTATCTTTAGTTTTCAAGTTAACTTTGAGGTTTTATTTTCTGTTTGTCAAGTCAAGCCTCTTGTGACCTTTCTCCCTGAATGAGCAGAGTTAGCTATCTGAAATGTCAGGAGTTTGTACCACCAAGGGTAAATTTGCTGGAAAGCTTTTAGTTGGGCTGCACTGGCTTGTTTAAATAGCCAAACACCTGCTAGGCAAGCCCTGCGCATGTGAGTGGCTATATATGTTCCTTCCTTTAGGATTTGCAAGGCTGGAGCACAAAGACAGCGATTGTTACCCAATAAGCAGTAGTCACACACTTCTACCAATCGCCTTAGGAGGGCTGGTTACCATGGAATCCACCATCTGTTCACTCCCCACCGGAATGTGATTATCCTTGCTGGGCTGGGAAGTGGGGAAAGCAGGGGAGCCTGTGCTGGGTGAGATTATCTGCAATGGACCGGGTTAATGGGAGGCTTGCTTTGGCTCGCTGGAAGAACAAATGAAGGGAGTTTTACTTCAACCATTTGTGACTTCTGGCCAAGAGGAATAAATTCAGCTTTTATAAGGTAAGTAACCCTAGTAATATGTATCCAGTTTGTAGTACGTTTGTGTGGGGGCATTATCTCCATGTGGTCCAAGGAAAGTGAGCTCTAAGCTCTTTTTAAAGAAACCTCCAGCGTCATACACTTCTCTTGTATTGATTTTATGCAGTTCAATAATGCCTATGCAATTACATGTTGATTTTGGAAAATGAAAAAAAATTTAATCTTTTAAACTGTTTTCTGCTTGTGAAATTGTTTTATGACTCCTGAAAGTGGCAAAAGGACAGTCATTTTTAATGGTTTTTCAGAATGAATTACACTGGTATTCTTTCTGAAATACGCCCATGGCCCCAAACGTGTTCAATGCCTGTCCTTATTATTTGAAAAAATAACTCGGGTCAGGGACGTTTGTAGGTTATGATTTAATTAATGATTATTCTGGCCCACATGACTGACCCACCATTACTAGCTGATGTTTTGAAATGTGATGTTTATGCAGTTTTATTTTGCAATGCTTTGGCACAAGTTTCAAGGGCCTGAGCATGTGGAAACAATGTGGCAGTGCTTTAAGGCATGCATGCAGGCACCGTGGTAAAGGAAGGGCAAGACAAGGAAGATCAGCTTCTATTTCAAGGGCTTCCTTTGTTTTTCTATTTCAACAGCCCCTTAAAATGTGTGTTGCATATTGTGAGCAGTAGAAGGAGATTTGGGTCCTAACAAATGGATGACTGACATTTTTCTGTGTGGCTAAGAGGTTGGTAGCTCAAACAAGGGACTTCTATGTCCTTTGTAAGGCAGCATTGTATCCCCTTCCCCAAAACTGTGCCCTAAAATATAAATGTGAAAAAACAAAAAGAGTGCTGTCTATAGTCTGGATACTTCTTTTGTGTAAGTTTTTTTTGTTTTTTTATCATTGAAACCATAGGGCCAGTGCTCTGTGAGTCTAACTGGGTCTGCCATTTTTACTTGATAGAGGAAAGGTTGCAAGGAAAGCCTTGGCTCATGCAGGTTCAGTCTTTCTGATTGTGCTGTGCTGCTGTCATCTTGGACATTTGTGCCAGTGGCTGCCCAGAGAGTTAGAAAAGGTTATTGCTAATAGGCCCTAATTGTTTCATTTTCTTTTTAAAATGATAATGTAAAATTAGATAACCTCATATTAGTCAAGGACTCATGTTCTTACTTCAAGAACAGGTTTTTAGGCCAGACAGTTGTGAGTTCTTGGTGTTAATTGTAGTTGACTTTAAAATCTTACCCTCTTTTGTGCTTACTGGTGTTTGTACATCATTATTATTACTTTTTAAAAGTTTTTTTCTTAAGGTACAAAATTAGTTTAGCTACATACTAGCTCTAAGAAGCATCTTTTAATAATAGTAGATATATGTCTGCCTGAAAATTTCCTTAGCATAATCTAAAAATTTTCAAGCCAATGTAATAGTATTGGGATAATTTTTTTCACCCATAAATGTCAGTCTTTCATAAGCAATATAAGGTTTGGGAGGAAAATAGGTAATTTGAAAGCCTCATGTATGATTATGTGTTCATGTTGCTTTAATTACCATTATCTTAGAATCCAGAAAAAGGCTGTGAGTGAATGGGTCTGAAGTGTGTGGCATCCGTGTACTTGGGATGTAGTTACCCAGAGCATTGGGGTAGGCTAGATAAATCCGTACACTTCTCAAGTTCCTAGTGTTGGTGAATTTACTTACTCTTTTCTTTTTGTTATTGAGTTAAAGTTTTAAGATTGTGTTTTTAATTGGATGTTAATGTTAGACCCAGCATTTTGAGTATTGGCAGGCATGTATATATTTTCAAGTGTAAGCGTGTTGCATTGACCAAATTTCCAGAGTAATAAGTAATAAAACCACAGGTTTTTCAAAATGTTTTTTAAAAAGCTTTGTCCAATCCACCACTAACAAGAAACTTAGTGGTTCTTGAGGGTAACCCTTCACAGAAATAGGTGAAGAGTGGGCAGCAGGGACAGTCCCTGGAGCATCTGTGATCCCAACTAGGGTACCTACGGGACAGGAGTGCATGGTCATAAGACTGTCCTGCACATGAAGGACCTGGTGAGATGTCCACTTCCATGCACAACACTGTCAGCAGTGAGACCTGCCACCATGCACACAGCTTCTTATAGTAGGGAATTTAGGATTTAGAATGTACTGAATTCGCGTGTCCACTATGAAGCAATGCTTTCTGATTCTCACCATCCTTACTTGTGGGGGTGAAGAGAGGTGCTAGATGTCTGAGGTGTCTGTGGTTTCTTCCAACTTTTCCAACTGTCTGAGGGCTTGATGCTTTTCAATTCTTCAATACAACTTAAGACCTTACTGACAAGCTTGTATTTATGCTTGTAAATATGTAAAACTAACCTTATTTGGTTATTTCATGTAAAAGGATTATGTAGATGACAATATGAAACTTTGAACAAAGTGCTTAGAGTGATTCAAATCCATGAACATTGAGTAGGCAGCAAATCAACCAGCATTAGTTCAGCATACGCAGTCAAGTCTTTCTGCTCCTTCCTTTGACACATTATGCCGGAATGTTGCCTGACATAACAAATTCAAACATGTAGACTCTAGACCTAATTAATGGCGATTAAATTTCTTAGTTTTTCATACTATGTTTTGTGGACACATTCATTCTGCCTAGCCTAAATTGAGTCCTTCAGTTTCTTTGCTTTTGAGGTACAGATTTATAATCCATTTTTTGAAGTTAAGTATTTTTGGCCATTGTGGTCCATTTGGCCCTTGAGCTGTCTGAGATGATGGAATACTAGGGATCTGAAGTGGAACAGCACCTGCAGATGCTGTCATTGCTAATGCTGCTATGTTCACATGTCCTTGGGGTTGAATCTGTTCGCATTTTTCACAATTTTGAGAAATAGATGTACTGAAAATTGCCCTCTTGCTTTCTCCCACAATGCCATATTACCATGGGTGCAAGAAATGCTTGGAATGAGTTAATTGTATGCATCAGCACAA
This sequence comes from Homo sapiens, assembly GCF_000001405.40. Taxonomy (NCBI): domain Eukaryota; kingdom Metazoa; phylum Chordata; class Mammalia; order Primates; family Hominidae; genus Homo; species Homo sapiens. Next base: position 32,505,302 of record NC_000012.12, read on the forward strand.
TTTTGCATTGCTGTGTTAGATATACATTTACAGGATGAGGAGCCTGGAAAGCATGCGTGTGAACGATGTGAACTTACACAAAAGCTATAGCTCAAAGCTGGTTTCATTTGGCAGGCTTTTTCTCTATATGTGTGCCAATTGATTTGAGTATCGGCAGCTGTTTCTTCTGAGTTGTCATCGTCTTCTGTTTTTATAACTGCTCTTGAGTTTCTGTAAAATAAAAAGGCAAACTTTTCATAAATTGGCAATGAGTGGGTCTATGCAGGTTGATGTAGATTGTTGGAACCATTTCTGTATGGACTTAACCTTTTCTTGCTCAGTTGCTTGCACTTTAACCCCAGAAATAGCTTGATGGAGTTACATGAGGGCGCCTAGCATACCTTATTCTTAGAAAAGTTCCACGTTTTACAAATAACCACGGCTCTGTACGGCTAATTGTTCTTTTGTAACAAACCTGTTGAATTTACTGACTTCCTGTGTAAGTAATAGTTCCTTCCTTCCTTGTCTGCCTAAATCCTGTGTTTTTTTTATTTTTACCAGTTTACTCGTCCTGAACTCAGATTAATGAAATTGTGAGACGTAGTATGTTCGCATAAGGCAAACAGACTGAATCTCTTGTATATTTTTAGATTCCTGTTATACATCCCTAGATGTTTATTTTCACATAATTTAAGGTCCCAATCTAAACAGGATTGTCTGCTTTTTAATGCCCTCATTTTAAAGAAGAACCTGAGGCCCATAAAGATTAAGCAGCTTTTCCAAGGTCAGGAAACCTGTGAGTTACAGAAACAGCTAATGTTGGGCATTGCATGTTGAATGCAAACACGTAGGGCAAGATCAGCTTAACATCCTACACTGTTGTCTTTAAGAGGAGCACAACATTGGGGTGTTACCCTAAAATCCCACAGATGAAATTTTCAGTATGCCTAGGTGGAATACACCTTTGAAAGATGATTTTCTCCATAATCAAAGTCATAAGAAACAGTTTGTCATTATAAATACCAAGCTTTTAAAAAACATTAACTGCCAAGCCAATTGGATGCATATGTTTCTCAGCTTGCAGGCATTCTCCCTTCTAGCCCTATCTATATGTGAAGTAAAATGATCAGAGTGCTGCCTAGTCACTGTGGATCCCAAAGCAGGTGGGGGAGGGAGGAGCCTGAGGAACGACTATGGTCCACTCTAGGACATATCTGTCACCTGGGCAGCATCTAGCATTCCTGTTGTGGGTTAGTACAACTTTCCTGTGGGCCTTTCCACAGGTATACGACCCGCACTTGCATACTTAATCTCCCTTTCTTCTGCTCCCTGCACCAACCCACAGGCACCTCCTTGCCCAGGACCACCCCACCCCCTAAGGAGACATTCACTGTCTTCATTGTTAACGTTGCATTCATTCATCAGATATTTCTTGCACATTTACTCTATGCCATTCCTATTGCGATGTGGAGGATATGGCATTGAGCACAATGGGCAAGATGTTAGTGAAATTTACCTAGTAGTGGGAAGAGACAGAATACAAAAGTAAAGAGATAAGTAAACAACATAATTTCAAATAGTGGCAGGTATGTGATGACAAAATGGGCTATGTTAAAGAGGGAGTTGAGGGTGGCAAACTTTATTTTTATTTATTTTTTATTATTATACTTTAAGTTTTAGGGCACATGTGCACAACGTGCAGGTTAGTTACATATGTATACATGTGTCATGCTGGTGTGCTGCACCCATTAACTCGTCATTTAGCATTAGGTATATCTCCTAAAGCTATCCCTCCCCCCTCCCCCCACCCCACAACAGTCCCCAGAGTGTGATGTTCCCCTTCCTGTGTCCATGTGTTCTCATTGTTCAATTCCCATCTATGAGTGAGAACATGCGGTGTTTGGTTTTTTGTCCTTGCGATAGTTTACTGAGAATGATGATTTCCAATTTCATCCATGTCCCTACAAAGGACATGAACTTGTCATTTTTTATGGCTGCATAGTATTCCATGGTGTATATGTGCCACATTTTCTTAATCCAGTCTATCATTGTTGGACATTTGGGTTGGCAAACTTTAGATTGGGTAACCAGCAGATGTTTATCTAGGGCAGTCCCATATAAGCTGAGACACAAATGATAAGGAGCCAGCCACGTGTAATCTGGTGCAGTGAAAGTGTGTTGCTGTTATCCTCAATTTATGGAGGTAGAAATAGAGGAAAGCCAATCGTCAGTATCGTATAAAAATCATGTTAAGTGAGTGCTACAAAGCCACATTGCATGTTATCGTTACTTCTCTTTCAGGACTTAATCCCGAATGTGTGTTCTTTTTCAAAGTCACAGTTTATTGGGAGAGCATGGGAACGCATTTACCAGTGGTTAAGAGCAGCAGTTTTAAAGTTGAGCAGACCTGGGGCTAGCCTAGTCTCTCATACTAGCTACCTGGATGTCTCTAGGCCAGTCACTTAACTTCCTTAAACCTCATCTTCCCCATTTGTTAGAACTTGTGGGGTTATCCTGGGTATTAAGGAAGTTGTGTTCAAAAATTCAAGTTGTGCTGACAATGATGGGGATTAATGTGATGTTCTCTTAGGGGCATCAGTAATAATCCCTGAATGTTGAAATATTTGCTACTCTTAGTAGTGAAAGCTTGGTAGGACTATTAGCCCTCAGATTCATGTATTCAACAAATCCTTTCTTGGTGTTCACTCTGCCCTTGCTAGATTCTGGGTGAAGAGCAGTACCAGGACATGCTCTGCACTCACACCGTGCTCAGCTAAGAGTATCATTTGCATTCAGTGTGATTGACATAGCAGAGGAGGGATGAAGGGTACAGAGGGGAGGGGTTCCTCGGCTGTGCACGTGAGGTGCAGCTGGGAATTCTGATCTGAGGATGCTAAAGCAAGGAGATATGATGGGCCAGGAAGTGCAGTCTTTGGGCTAAGGCAGGGCAGGATATGCAAGTGGAGATATTGCCTTGCACAGAAGTTTTTACTGTATCCTGTAAAGAATGAGGAATGTTTGAATAGTTTTAAAACATTTGGGAATAGATCTTCAGTTTTATAGTCTGAAAAGATAACTGGCAGTTTAAATGATGGAAATATGGGAGGGAACAATCTCCAAGGCAGCTGGAATTCTCTTCTTTATCTTTTTCATCCACAGCAAGTAGACTTTTTCTTTTATTATCACCACCACAATATAGTTGTCATATCTTATTCTTGATATTTAGATTCTAAAGCCAGCACAGAAAGCAAAACTTGGATGAAGTCAAAAAAGCTCTTGAAAAGTCCCTTAGGAAGGCATAGCTTTGTAGATCAACTCTCTTCTTGTTAAGTCCAACACTGCATGTGTGTTTTTTTAGCGTTAGAAGAGATTGCTGCTTCTTGAGTTGAGCATGAGATATAATAATTACTTTGCTTGCATTTAGAGGTCATGCTATATGAAATAGAGTCCTAGAATTCAGCTCAGTGTGCTGAGACCTCACACTTTGAGAGTCACCAAGTGACTCATGTGAACCAAGAGGAATTGCAGGAGCAGCAGGTTCATGATTTCTGTCTGTCTTATTCCCACTACAGAGCACATGAGCATTGGGTCAGATTGCCTGAACAACTTAAACTATTGCACCTGTGTTTGGGTGCGTGCGCACACACTATCACACACAGCTGTTTTCTGTATCTGCAAAGTGTATATAGTTCACTTTGAAGCAAGTTAAGATGCAACTACTCTAATTGCAATATATACCAACTTTTGGTGTTTTCTATATGTCAGAGACTGCAAAGTATATTCATCATCCATCTAATCTTTAACTAATATTTGAGATAAGAGATTTATCCGCATTGAAAAAATACAAATGTTAGGAGGTATAGTACATAGGATTTCCAAGTTCACCAACATTAAATGATGAACTAGGAAAAATACCTCGATCTGTTCTGGCTTCAATTCTATGTTCTTAACTTTTATTCTCTTTTTTTTTTTTTTTTTTGAGTTAGCCATTCCATTAATCTAGGCAAAATAATAATATAGGAAACGTAACTACCACAGTAGCAGCGAGGGTACAGAAATAAGACTCTAAAGAGATGAAAAGAGAATTAATGAGAAATGTCTTTAAGAAGTCCTCAGGTGGTTAGTCATTGTCAAAGAACATAAATGGTTCAAAAAGGAAAAAGACACCATTGACTAATAAATGAAAAAAATTCTGTACAACTAGCAATCACAGAAATACACAAAATATTCATGCTTATATCAGCAGAAATTTTCCAAATGCTTATATTTTGGATTGGCACCCTTGTATACTTCAGATGACACTCTAAACTGATGGAGTTTTTTGGAAAACAATTTGGTAAATAGGTTTTATCTTAATCAGAGAACACATGGTTGCAAGAAATAGAATCCCCCTGTAATTTAAGAGAAAAGAGGATGTATAGAAACAACACAAAGGTGTCTCATGGAACCCAGGGGCAATAAATTCATCCAGGCCTTTCAAGGAGCTGGACCCTGGACAGCTACATCTCCATTCCTCTAGGTGTGTGACCTGTCAGCCCCACTACTCTGCCTGTGTGCCTCACGCTGTTTGCACTGGCCTCTTAGGATCCCTCTGTGAATGGCAGAAAACGTGGCCACCTCTAATCTCAGATTATACCCTTTCCAGTGCCCAGTAGAAACACATAGTTCTAACTACAGATGTCCTGGAGAGACTCCAATGGGCTAAGCTTTGGTCATTGATTACCTTTGCTAGTCAGCTGTGGCCATGGAACACAGAAGTCACTTGACCTGTAATAAGCAAATAGAGTACAACTACTACATTATCAATAGCTTTAAAAATGTTTTTCACACCCATAATTCCAATTTTAGAAATCTACCACTAGTAAGTTGCTGAGTGATTCAGTGAATGATTTATCACATCATATCAGGTGTTTTAGTGGGAATGGGAAGAAGTGGGAAGCTAGTAACGTTCAACAATAGGAAAATAGCTAAATAAATTACTGTGCATTCATGGGATTGTAAGTTATACAACCATTAAAACATCTTCACAAAATGTGGGAAAATGCTCACAATGAAATGTTAAATGTATATAATGTTGTATATGCTGTATTATGCTTTTTATATAACAATAAAAATACTAGAGGGAATTACTAGAAATTCTAGTAATAACACTAGTTATTTCTAGATTTTAGGATCACTTTTGTTTTGTTCTTTACAAGTTTTTTGAAGATTTTAAATAATGAACAATGACCTTATAGGAATTTTACTGTAATAAAAAAGTGAACTAATATGAAATGCTCAAAAAAGACATTATAATCTAGTAGGGACGATAAACCTGTTGTAAGTAATAGTAACCAATGCAGGCTAGTATGTTATTTGTGTTATAGATTATATAGTAAGAACTTAAGGATGAATTTCCTAGTAATTAGACTGTTTTACACATGGAATGTCCTGTTCAAGAACTATTTTCCTATCACTGGTGGTATTTAAATATAAATTAGACAGATACTTGTAAGAGATATTGTAGACAAGATTCATCTATCAGGTACGTGGAACTAAATGACTTCAAAAGTATTCAACCCCGATGTTCTGTTGGGAATATAGAATTTACTTTGGAAAGAGTCTTTTTAAAGTGCTTAAGTGTTAGGGGAAGATACTGTAATGATACAAGCTGAGTACCTTTTATGAAAGAGGTGTGAAATTATATAGAAGTCATCAGAGTCTGTGGGATTAAGCAGGAGGATTGAGCCAGATCTTGAAGAGGGTGATAGGCAGGGACTAGATTATAAGAGGGAAGTTATTTTAAGGCTTAGGTAATGATTGGTGCTAAGGCAGAGTTAGGATTCAGCCAGTTATGGATGAGGGATAGTAACCAAATTGCTTGCCAAATGGCAGAGGCATTTATTTTCCTTGTTCACTCTCTAGTGAGATGAGCATGAAGCGGTGCAAAACTTAGATTGAACAAGAGAGCAAAGGGAAGCAACCATGGTAAATCTGCTTGCTTGTGGGCTTAATTATATTCTGGGAAGAAACACTTTAGGGCGATCGGTGTGATATATATATATTTTTTGAGACAGAGTCTCGCTCTGTTGCCCAGGCTGGAGTGCAGTGGCGCGATCTCGGCTCACTACAAGCTCCGCCTCCCAGGTTCAAGCAATTCTCCAGAGTAGCTTGGGACTACAGGTGCCCACCACCACGCCCAGCTAATTTTTTATATTTTTTTTAGTAGAGACGGGGTTTCACCGTGTTAGCCAGGATGGTCTTGATCTCCTGACTTCGTGATCCGCCCGCCTCGGCCTCCCAAAGTACTGGGATTACAGTTGTGAGCCACCGCGCCCGGCCTGATTGGTGTGATTTTTATGTTTTGGTGGTTATGTTAAATGATGGCAGTAATAGTACATTAACAGCTGTGCTATAAAAATCAACCTACTTATTTAACTCACACATTAAAATTCTTTGAAACTACACAGAACTATAAAGGAACAAGGACTTTTAGTCTCACTGTGTGTTGTGTGGTCATCTTTTTTTTAAGTAAAGCAATATTAAAGGTATATTTTTTCTGTTCATTAGAAAAAGACAGTCTACAGCCATACCACCCGGAATGTGCTCAATCTCATCTAATCTCAGAAAAAGACAAATTTCCACGAAGAGTAAGCTGATTTTAGAATTGAAACTCAGTTTAGCATTTTGTGTGAAGCTGATTCTTCCCCCTATTTAAAAAAATGGAATAGATGTAAAATTATTACTATAAAATGATTAATATTGCTTTTCTTTGAATTATTCTTTTTTATGATTGTGTATATCGAAGTCTTTTTTGTGATGCTTCTCAACTTCTAAACAAATTCTGGTGAGTGATCCTAAACTGAAAGTTGTGGCTTGAGGGCTCGAAGAAGTAGAGTGCTTGTGGCCGGGTGCAGTGGCTCTCACCTGTAATCCCAGCACTTTCGGAGGCTGAGGCTGGCGGATCATCTGAGGTTAGGAGTTTGAGACCAGCCTGGCCAACATAGTGAAACTCCCTCTCTACTAAAAATTAAAAAATTAGCTGGGCATGGTGGCACGAGCCTGTAATCCCAGCTACTTGGGAGACTGAGGCAGGAGAATCGCTTGAACCTGGGAGATGGAGGTTGCGGGGAGCTGATATCCTGTCATTGCACCCCAGCCTGGGGGACAGAGCAAGACTCTGTCTCAAAAAAAAAAAAAAGTAGAGTGCTTGTTCATGACTCTGAGCTCATTTAGTCTCAGCCTTCAGTTTCTGGTGCTACATCACTTGGGACTCACACGCCAAGCCCCTATCAGGTTTTGTCACTGCCACCTTGTCACAGAAAATTGTCAGGGTAGTGGTTTCATCTCTTGGAAAGACCCAGGTGGGTGAGCAGCCAGTAAATCCAATAGCTTGCCTGCCTGAAATGCAGAGTTGATTGGAGACAGGCTGATCCAGGGCCCACCTCTTTCTCTCCTAGGGAGCATATATGTTTTAACAGTAGGAAAAATTGAGTTATTTTGGCCACATGGAAGTGAAGAGCCTGTATTCTCAACCATCCAGAGCTATTTCTCTTAATTACTCAGAGGCGTAATACCTTTCAGAAAGGCTTTTTATTGTTTGTAAACCTTGGCAGAAAGAGGGAAGGGCATGGTATCTGCATAAAATTTCTAGTGGAGAATAGATGAAATGGAGTCTCCTCACATCAAAGTTAGGTAGATTTATATACTTATCCAGGCAACCTGGACATTCATTTAAACATTTAAGGGTTTATGTCCAAAGCTTTGCTGGGCCAATAAAGATACAGTCTTGCTTTCAGTAAGCTCACTTTAGAAACTACAATGTATGATGCAAGGTCATAATACTGTACAAAGGTACATGCAAAGTGCTGTGATTGCGCAGAGAGAAGGGAGGACTCATGGCCAGGCCAGGCAATCAGAAATACGTCACCTTGGAGATTTTAGGAGGAGGTAAGATCTACATGGTGAAGGGCATTTCATATCAAGGGAACAGCACACATAAAAGCTTGAAAACTGTAAAATAATCATAGTTGTTTAGAATATAAGAAATTGGTTTAACTAGAGTGTTGGGATTAGGTGTAGGAGTGGAATGGTTGGAATCTGTAAGATAAATGGCACCAGATTATGTTAGTCTAAACTGTAAGTCAGGTGTGGGACATGATCCAGTGAGCCGTGGAGGGAGCTCTCTGAAATTTTTAAGCTGCCAGGCAACATGGTTCTTTATACATTTTGGGAAGATGACTCTGATGGAACTGCGGAGGAGGGGCTAAGGTTGCAAGGTGCAGGAGCTTTAGCATTTTGATGAGGAGCAGATGGTACAGGAGAAAGATGATGAGTCCTCTGAATTAAGACTGGCACAAGGATGTACAAGAGAGAAGGAATTGAGAAATTGTAGGAGTAAAAGTGCCAGGACTTAGTGATTAATTGGATGTGTAGATGGGGTAAAGGAGTGGAAAGTGTCAGGAACAGCTCTGAAGTTTCCAGCTTGGATAGTTGGCTAGATGATGCATCATTGGCTAATATAAGGAATACTGTGAGGGAAGCAGACTTGGATCCTATGTTTGCCTCAGGAACTGCAGTAAATACCTCATCACCGGTTTATAATAACTGGTTTAAATGTATGTATGAAATTTGTATTCTTCACAATTTTGCAAATAAATACCATAGAAATCCAATATATTCATAGTCTGATAAACAGTATTAGTTTCCCTTTTATGAAAAAGTAAAGTGTAACAATAAAAAGAAAATCAAATATTTCAAAGCAAACTTCCAGTTTCTCTTCATACATCACACTTCAAATTCTATACCTCTCTACCATTTAAAATTAATTGTTGCCTATCAACAGGTGACTGTACCCTTGCTGTACGGTGAAAGCAGAGAATAAAACAGGGATCTTCTGAGCTCACAATATAACTTAGAAAAACTAATGGATATATATTCATGTTATCCAGTCAATCAGTTTGTTTAGTGATAGACATTTCAGTTATACAATACAGAAGCAGTATGAATGTTGAGGCAAGAAATGGCCATAAGATGTTGGTTTTCTTTTTTTGAAATGTAAGAAGGAAGTATTTCAGTGTTAATTGGGCTTCTCAACTATATACCACTTTCCCAATAAACCTTTTCCCTCAGCCACGTTAGTCTTCTCTGAGCTCTTGAAGCCCTCATGATTTTTATCTATCATTAACGTATTTTCAGTTGGCTCTTGTCTTGTCTCTCTCCCCAAATAGACTGTGTTCCTGAGGCCAGGAAGCTTTTTGTTTTTGTTTTGAGACAGGGTCTCACTCTGTCTCCCAGGCTGGAGTGCGGTGGCGTGATTGTGGCTCACTGCAGCCTCGAACTTCTGGGCTTAAGCAATCCTCCTGCCTCAGCCTCCTGTGTAGCTGGGACTACAAGTGTACACCATCATGCCTAGCTAATTTTTTTTTTAACAGAAAGGATGTATTTTATTAAAGGATATATTTTACGTATTTATAAAAATTCAATGTAAGATAAAGTTGACATCTCAAATCAATGGCCCGAATTGCAGATTGTTTACTAAACATTGTTGGGAAAATGTATTATCCATTTGTTTAAAAGGGATGCATACCTTAACCAAAAATAAATTTCATATTGCTAAATGCCTAGCTAATTTTTTGTAGATATGGGGTTTTCACCATGTTGCCCAGGCTGGTCTTGATATCCTGGACTCAAGCTATCTGCCTGCCTCAGCCTCCCAAAGTGTTGAGATTAAAGGCTTGAGTCACCACTCCCAGCCCCAGGAACTATTTTACTCACCTTATATCCCCAGCTTTTGGCTCAGCACAGAACCCATACTAACATTTAGATTGAACAGAACTAAGGCTAAAGGAAAACTTTAAAGGAACTTATTAAAATTACCAATCCCATTTCAACAATGGGAAGATAAGGAGTGGCACAACACCATGGGATTAGAACAGGGACTATACCACCTTGCTCCAGCTCCACTGTCCCTGCTTCTGGAAAGGGCCCCACTCCAATAAGGAGAATTCCACAGCTCCTGCTCAAATCTTGTGGTTCTTGCTCCATTCTTGTCCAGATTTCTCTGATTAGATTGGGTGCCATTGAAGGTCATGGGTTTTTGTCCTGGTCATTGTTGTGCTCCCAGATGATTGCACAAAGCCCAGCAGATAGAATGTGCTAGATAAAGCACCTAATGGAAGCAATGAGGAAAAGAATGAGTCTTAAGCAGACTTCCTAAGGTGTTTGAGAATCACTAAGGAATTTGAAATGTATCATAGACCGTAGGGCTGAGTTACAATCAACAATAAATAATCTTTTTAAATGAAACCAAAATCTTATTTTAAAATACATATTTGTTTTGGCTTGAAAATCTGCTCTCCTGCCTGCCCCTCCTGTTCTTTTCAGATATCTGCACTGACATTGAGCATTGCACATGCTGTGCCACTTCAAACAACTTCATTTCCTTGTTTCCTCTTGAATTAATTATGAACTGCCTATACCTCCTTTACATAAGTGATAAAAGAGACATGGGCAGATGGAAACTGTATTTTTGCAGATATATGTAGGTACTTGTGTCTTTTGAATATAAAAATGATCAGGGATGGATATGGGCCAAAATCCCACAGAGGAAGATAGGATAAATTGAAAACTATGGTTTTGAATGCAATACACCTTTTAAAAGGGCAGGCAAATAAGCTTTCAACAAACGTGACAATCGTATTGAAGAAATTGAACCCAGTCTTCAACCAGTAACTTGATTTTAATAAATAACAAACTGTTAATCCCAAATTAGTGCATGATGTAATAACTAAAATTGCCAAAAGCAAAACCATTCTCAGAAACCAGGAGAAAAATAACAACAACAATTGGGGGGTGGGGGATTTCAGGTGATTAGAATTAGGCAGCAAACTGGAACTAATTTCCCTTTTGCTTTTTAGACAGGATCTCACTGTTGTCCAGGCTGGAGTGGAGTGGCACAGTCAGTTTACTGCAGCCTTCACCTGCTCAGACTCCTGAGCATCTGAGGCAGGAGGATTACTCCAGGTGTGCGCCACCATGCCTGGCTAATTTTTTAATTTTTTTTATAGAGAGGGAGTTCCACTCTGTTGCCCAGGCTGGTCTCAAACTCCCAGGCCCAAGCGATTCTCTTATCTCAGCCTCCCAGAGTGCTGGGATTACAGGCATGAGCCACCATGCCTGGCCTAACTTCCCTTTTTAAGTTGTGGTTAGTATCATCAGTATTTCCTATTTACTTTGAGTATCCATGGACTTTTAGACAGCATCTTGATTAATAGAAATAATGGTAATGGTGTCACTGACAAGTTATCTGTTGTAAATATATATGCTTACATTGATGCATATGTAAACTGTAAAATGTGCAAATGATGAAGCAGTCTGTTGGCACTTTTGGCATAAACTCTCACATTTAACATAGAATAAAGTTTTATTTTAACAGAATAAATATCTCAGGCATGGTGGCTTATGTGGTAAAATCCCAGGGTAGTTATTAGGTGAGTTGTTTGTAAATGATAAGAATAAAAATTATTTTCCAGTAAAATGCCACTGATCTATGAAGGTACCAAAAGTTTAATTTATTATTTAAATGAGGAAAAGAATGGGAAACTTGGCACTTTGATTTAAGATGGTAATTTTATCTAATGAATACATATCTAAGACATAATATTAGGAATATCACTCCGTAATACTGTAGTAGATCTGGAAATGATGATAATTTAAATCGGGCAATTTCAGGTCTAGCATAGTTAGTGGGTACCCAAAAAGTTCCTAGATGCTTAGTGAAGCTTCTTTATTAACACATTCAAATCAGCAAGTATTTGTATGCCTTCTTTGTGCTTTGAGCTGAGCTTGTTTTGGGTGCCAGAGTATAATTATAAAAATAGTTTTGTTAAACTGTTAGGTTAATTCTAATTGTTCTCTGTTTTAAATGGCATTACATTCATCTTTATGCATATAGCTCTTTGATTAGGATAGCTTGCCCAGGCGTCACAGGTGGATGATACGCAGTTTTCTGGCATGCAACAGGTATTACCATGTTGCCTTCTCAATTGTCATTTCAATTTACCTGCTACTGTGAGTGCTTGAGGTAATGATGTCTTCAGCACTGGATTTTATAATTTAAAGCCATTTTTTTCTGGTCAAAGTCTAAAAAAAAATTGTGTCTTTATTATATGGAGATTAATTTTTTACACATATATCCTTATTAAATTATCATTACTTTTACATTAGAATTTAATGTCATCCTTAGTTTAATGAAATTTTCAGTATCATAGTTGATGTCCCAGAATCAAACTACAGGATTAGGTAGTCTTCGTATCTAGACTGATGTGTAGGAGATATGATTAGTCTTAGGGCCAGGCACAGCTGCTCACTCCTGTAATCCTAGAACTTTGAGAGGCCAAGGCAGGAGAATTGCTTGAGCCCAGGAGTTTGAGACCAGTCTGGGCAACAAGGTGAAACCCTGTCTCTACAAAAAAATTAGCTTGGCATGGTGGCATGTGCCTGTAGTCCCAGCTATTTGGGAGGCTAAGGTGGGAGGATTGCTTGAGCCTGAAAGGTTGAGGCTGCAGTGAGCCGAGACCATGCTGCTGCACTCCATCCTGGGTGACAGAGTGAGACCCTGTCTCAAAAAAAAAAAGTTTTGGAAGAATTCAACTTGAAATCATTTTGGAGATTCCCTCCCACCCAACCCCCAATATCGTTAGTATTTTTTTGCATGTAACATTTACTGTTTATTCTGCCTACTTTCTGCCATCATCATAGTTTTAACATTGGTGCTATAGCATATTTATGTCAGCTTTATGACTTACTAAGTTTTAGGACTAACTTCAGGATTGACGTGTGTAGACAACATGTACAAGATTCTTGTGAAAGACTATCTGTCTAGGAACATGACTACTGCCTACATTCTAGGAGATGCCTTCTATGGAGCAGTGTTCTATGAAGGGTGGTGTGCCCTACAGGGTGCAAAAGATGAACACTTGGAGAGCAGGAAGCAGGTACTAGACCTTGGAGTTCAAGACCAGCCTGACCAACACGGAGAAACCCCGTCTCTACTAAAAATACAAAATTAGCCGATACTGGTGGCACATGCCGGTAATCACAGCTACTTGGGAGGCTGAGGCAGGACAATCGCTTGAACCCGGTAGTCGGAGGTTGTGGTGAGCCAACATAGCGCCATTTCACTCCAGTCTGGGCAACAAGAGTGAAACTCCATCTCAAAAAACAACAACAAAAAACCAGCCCTGGCATTCCTAATATTTTTGTCCTTTTTCTAGCATTTTTTTCCATCTATGTGTCAGATACATCTATCTATATGGTATATGTATGGAATTCTGAGGAGAGAACAGAGACTGGACAATGCAAGCTCACTTGTCTGTTTTTGTGTCCATGGCATTTTAAGCATGGCTGGTTAAGTGGACTGAGATGATGTTATTTTAGATAGTGGAATTCTGGCAATACTTGGTAATAAGTGACCACAAACATCATAAGCTATTTAATGGCACGATATTTAAACAAGTTGTGAGACTAAAGATACTACATCTTTTTCTTTACAAAAGAAAAAAAAAACAAGGGCCAGGCACGGCAGCTCACGCCTGTAATCCCAGCACATTGGGAGGCCGAGGCAGGCAGATCACCTGATGTTGGGAGGTCGACACCAGCCTGACCAACATGGAGAAACTCTGTCTCTACTAAAAATACAAAAATTAGCCGGGTGTGGTGGCACATGCCCGTAATCCCAGCTACTCGGGAGGCTGAGGCAGGAGAATCGCTTGAACCAGGGAGGCAGAGGTTGCAGTGAGCCCAAGATCATGCCATTGCATTCCAGCCTGGGCAACAAAAGCAAAACTCCGTCTCAGGAAAAAAAAAAAAAAAAAAAAAAAGCCTCCCCACCGCCGCCCCCACCATGTGCCCATTTGCTAACCTTTCATGTGAAGACAAGTGTCTGTCAGTAAATATTTAGCAGGTTCTTACTTAGCAGATATATTTGGAAAACACAGTCTGTCCCTTTGAGGTACAGGTGACATTTGAATGAGTTAGAAAGTAACTGCAATCAGGAGCAGCAGAAAAGTACACTATAGACAGAGCATTTTTGAAATGATTGTTTGGAAATGTTCCATTATTGTGTAATTTTATCACTACAATGGATGTATCTTTTATTTTTAAAATCTTATTTTTTAAAAAACTTATTTCTGCAAGTACACTCAAACTTACATACAGATCTTTTTAACTGTCTTTTAAAATCTTCGGCCAGGTGCACTGGCTCACACATGTAACTCCCAGCACTTTGGGAGGCTGAGTCAGGAGGATCACTTGAGGCCAGGAGTTTGAGACCAGCCTGGGCAACACAGCAAGACCTTGCCTCTGCTTAAAAATAAAATAAAATAAAAAAATAAAGCTGGGCACGGTGGCTCACTCTTGTAATCCGAGCACTTTGGGAGGCCAAGGCAGGCAGATCACTTGAGGTCAGGAGTTCGAGACCAGCCTAGCCAAGATGGTGAAACCCCGTTTCTACTAAAAAAGAAAAAAATACAAAAAGTAGCTGGGCGTGGTGGTGTGCACTTGTAGTCCCATCTACTTGGGAGGCTGAAGCAGGAGAATCACTTGAACCCAGGAGGCAGAGGCTACAGTGAGCTGAGATCATGCCACTGCACTCCAGTCTGGGTGACAGAGCAAGACTCCATCTCAAAATAAAATAAAATAAAAAATCTTTGAATAGTTTTAGTATGTTTTAGAGTAAGTTTTGAAAAATAATGTAATATCTTCTGAGATATTACTATAGATGGAAATTTGCCAGAATAATTTTGAGAAAAACCTTTGTATAACTGGTAGATGGTATTTAAAAATAGGTATTGTGACTTAGTAAGTGCATCCAGTGATAGACTTCTTCCCTTTAGGACGATGAATCTCTCTTCATGGCAGTCATTGAAACTAAGTATGGAAGTAAACTGAGATAGATTTACTCTTCCAAATTGCTGTATTGTGAAATATTTTACAATTTCTTTTTAAATAAACGAATACAAGAGCTTTAAAGAGATTTTAAATGTTTTTGAGTTTTAGCATTTACCTTAAAAGATTTTTTAAAAACAAGCAGATTCAGTCACATTGTTCTCTTAACAATAGTATTTTTACCTCTACCTTGCCCTATTTTAAGTTCTATTGTGGGTTTTTTTGTTTTTTGTTTTTTTTTTTTAGAGATGGAGTCTCGCTCTGTCGCCCAGGCTGGAGTGCAGTGGTGCAATCTTGGCTCACTGCAAGCTCTGCTTCCCGGTTTCACGCCATTCTCCTCCCTCAGCCTCCTGAGTAGCTGGGATGACAGGTGCCCACCACCACGCCTGGCTAATTTTTTTGTATTTTTAGTAGAGATAGGGTTTCACCGTGTTAGCCAGGATGGTCTCGATCTCCTGACCTCGTGATCCACCCGCCTCGGCCTCCCAAAGTGCTGGGATTACAGGCATGAGCCACCGCGCCTGGCCTATTTTTGTGTTTTAAAGTGTGTATCTTAATACAGGAATGCTTGTATCTAACTCTTACCTACATTGTGTGCGAATATGCATACTAGGGGATGCATGCCCAGGATTTATTCTGATAGGGATGTGCCCTCAAGAAGTTTAGAGATAAAGTATTCTAGAAAGCCTTCTCTTACCCTCCGCTCTGTACCTCCAGCAGTCACAGAGCCTCAGCCAAACTTGTCAATTACTATTTTACTTGTTTGCTCTCCCTTTGGTTCCTCGAGAAGGAACTATTTAATGAGACTGTATAAAGTGTTTGAAAACAATGTGCATGGGAGCCATAATAATGAACAGGACAGACAGGGTCCCTGTCCTCTAGAAAAAAGGACATTGCAGGCTGGGCGCGGTGGTTCACACCTGTAATCCCAGCACTTTGGGAGTCCGAGGCGGGTGGATCACGAGGTCAGGAGATCGAGACCATCCTGGCCAACGTGGCAAAACCCTGTCTCTACTAAAAATACAAAAATTAGCTGGCATGCCTCTAATTCCAGCTACTCGGGAGGCTGAGGCAGGAGAATTGCTTGAACCAGGGAATCGGAGGTTACAGTGAGCCAAGATCGCACCACTGCACTCCAGCCTGGCGACGGCGAGACTCCGTCTCAAAAAAAAAAAAAAAAAAGGACATTGCATGAATATTTAATTACGTTTGTGAAGAAATGTTCAAAGGAAACAACCCACAGGGAATAATTAGACTTAGTCATATGTAGAGACCTTAACGTCACAGGAACTGAAAAAGCTGGTGTGGCTGAACTGATGGGCAGGACTTTATAAAAAACATTCCCAAGTCCCTAACAATGTGTCCTGTATACTATATTGAGTCCCATATGGGGCTCAGTAATTCTTTGTAAATAAACAAATACAACATCTTTAGAAGGGATTTTAAATGTTTTTGAGTTTTAGCATTTACTTTAAAAAATATTGTTTTCTAGTTTGCCATAGGTTACTCTAATTTCTGCTGTTTTAAACTCGAATCCTTACCCATTTGTGGCAAATAACATTTGCCTCTGCTATCCTGTGCAGAGGATGAAGATAAGCCATACTCCATGAACAGTGAACTGTTTACTAATACGAGATTATTTAAGTTCCACTACTGATGAACTGTTGTGTCTTAAAGGCTATATAGGTATTTTATAATCCTTAGCATAGTACCGAAGACCTGTTTGTTTCAACATGATTACTAAAGTTGACAATATATAGATTGCCAAAATAATAATTAGAAAATTCCAAGCAAATAAATTTATAATTTATTTAGTACCCATTTAAACGTGCATATGATGGAAATGAGCTGTTTTTTAAAAAATTAGTTCCCTTTTTATCTTTGACCTTATTTCCTACCACAAATTCAGTAACTTACAAAGATATTTAAAAGCTGACTAAATTTGCATCTACTAATATTCTTTTTTCTTTGGAATATTATTACTGTAATATACTTCTGAGATTGTATTAAAAAAGAAACTGCATGTGTAAGATTATCATTATCTGTTGTGGGTGGGGGTGGATACGTAGAGTGGATGATTTGCAAAAGACAGGAAGATCCTCGTTATATTTAGGGTATCTTTTCTTTCCACATTCTGAATTTGGCCTTTAAGAATATTCGGGCCAACACAAAAGGCCCAAGTTGCTGCTGTTACCCCAGCAAGCTGTGCGTTAGGGTCTTGGGGGAAGGAAGATGATAATTAGAAGAAATTTGGATCAGGCAGCTCATCAAAAAATAGAGAAATGAAAGCCTTCCTTCTTCTCTCTCAAGTTAGTAGCAAGTAACTGACTGTACTTTATCCTTTGTGTGACCTGGCAGGGGCAGAACTAACGTTTTATTTTCTTGAAGTCTCAGAGGAGCCTTTTCTGGAAGCTGCATGGTTATTTCAAAGTTGGAAAAAATAATAGGTTCCTGTGGAAATTTATGAAAACATTTTTTCTTGACTTCCTTCTCAAAACCTTGGGTGATTGATAGAGGGAGCATGGTTTAGGAACCATATTTTGAAAGCAAAGTGGCAAGAGATGAGGGGTAGAGCCTTCAGGCCTTCTGTGAAATTGAGATTGCGTTCTAAGTGCAGTATGCAGCCACTGAGGCTTTTGGCAGGCACTGATGAACACTTCTGTAAACCACAGTGTTTGCAAGTCTGCCACCAATTTCCTTGCTACAAAGCCTGAAATAATATCCTTTCCCTCCTTTTGATGCCTAATGAAATCCTACTTATCCTTCAACATAAAGTTCAATCTTCCCTTCTTCAGTGAAGGAGGTAGCTATCTGGACATTTAGGAAGGAGAGCATGAACTGAAAAGGGAACTTGGTACTGGAATCTTCTGCATAGTGGAGTAGCTGTAAACCCCCTCCCGGGTCTGTTCCCCAGAGCAGAGAGTGAAAAAAGAGAACAGAGAGGAATAGTACAAGCAGTGGAGTATCTATCATAGAGTTGACTAAGCATGAGCATACAAGCTGGGAAGAAGCAAGGAGAGGCTGCTGAGGTTGGGGAGCATAAATTTATGGCAGAGAATGTTTGCAGTTTTTGAAAGTGTGGTAAAATGTGCATGACATTTACTATTTTGAATATTTTTAAGTGTGTGGTTCTGTGGCATTAAATACATTTATATTGTAGTACAGCCACCACCACCATCCATCTTTAGAATTTTTTCATCCTTCCCAACTGAAACTCTGTACTCATTAATGTAGTAGTTTTAAGCTAGCAATACATGACAACCTCAGAACTAGAACTGTATATGGGTGGACCGAGGACTGTCATGGTAGGTATGGATGAAAGAGATGGGGTTAAAGGACTCTAAAATGCTACACAACGCATTTACTGTTTGCAGGTGGATGAAGCTAAGGGACTGACACGGAGGGATGGAGCAGAGAAGAGAAATAAACTTTTATCTGCTTGCATTTAAGTGAATGATTTACATTCAGAAAATACATAGCTCTGGGCCGGGTGCGGTGGCTCACGCCTGCAATCCCAACACTTTGGGAGGCCGAGGCGGGCAGATCATGAGGTCAGGAGATCGAGACCATCCTGGCTAACACGGTGAAACCCCGACTCTGCTAAAAATACAAAAACAAAATTAGCCGGGCGTTGTGGCAGGCACCTGTAGTCCCAGCTGTTCTGGAGGCTGAGGCAGGAGAATGGCGTGAACCCGGGAGGCGGAGCTTGCAGTGAGCTGAGATCCTGCCACTGCACTCCAGCCTGGGCGACAGAGCAAGACTCTGTCTCAAAAAAGAGAAAATACATAGTTCTTCCGGTTTGAATAGCCACTTGGCACTGATCTACTGGAATCCAAAGAAATTAATAGTAAAGATAATAATAGTTATAATTAAACACCATGTTTGTGCTTAGAAGTAAGATAAATTGGCCGGGTGCGGTGGCTCATGCCTGTAATCCCAGCACTTTGGGAGGCCGAGGCGGGCGAATCACGAGGTCAGGAGATCGAGACCATCCTGGCTAACACGGTGAAACCCCGTCTCTACTAAAAATACAAAAAATTAGTCGGGCGTGGTGGCGTCAGTCCGTAGTCCCAGCTACTCGGGAGGCTGAGGCAGGAGAATTGCTTGAACCCCGGAGGAGGAGGGTGCAGTGAGCCGAGATCGCGCCATTGCACTCCAGCCTGGGCGACAGAGGGAGACTCTGTCTCAAAAAAAAAAAAAAAAAAAAAGATAAATTACCTGGAATTAGTATAAAAGCAAGATTTGATAAGAAACATAACAAATTTGGAGAAAATATTTGTGATATGAACTCCTTTAAAGACAGCTATAATTCAAATAAAAAAAAAAAACAGAAAAAAATATGTGGCAGGCTCACGCCTGCAATCCCAGCACTTTGGGGGGCCAAGATGGGAGGACCGCTTGAGCCTAGGAGTTTGAGATCATCCTTGACAACACAGGGAGACTCTGACTCTACAAAAAAATGAAAAATTATCTGGGCATGGTGACATGTGCCTGTAGTCTCAGCTACTTAAGAGGCTGAGGTGGGAGGATTGCTTGAGCATGGGAGGTCAAGGCTGCAGTGAGCTGTGATCACACCACTGCGATCCACCTGGGTGACAGAGTGAGACACTGTTTCAAAAAAAAAAAAAATGAGCACAGAGATTACAGAAGCTTTTTAAAAATGACTAATAAACATTTATAAACATAGAAATTGTTGATTAGGAAAATACAAAATTTAAACAATGAGGTGCTGTTGTTCAGTATGAAATATCTTATGCATATACTAAGTTGTGTGTTTATGTATATGTCTCTAAAGATTGTTTAAAGAACAAGAGCAAAACAGACTTCAAGAATTAGGATGTTACCAATACATTTGAAGCCCCTGTGTTCTTCTTTCTTTTTCTACTCCCTATGCCTCCCCACCAGAGGTATCTGCCATCCTGAAATTGTTGTCTAGTGTACCTTTGCTTTTCTCCCTCTCCAGAATGAGGGTTTTGTGACCCAACAATCAGATTAGAGTCCTGGCTTGGGCAGGTGCAAGGAGGGCAAAGAGAGAGATTATTTTCTGAGGTGTAAAGTGCCCCAGCCTCATAACAAGGCTGTGAGAGTTATGAACCAGAACTGTGGACAAAAATCATAACATCACACCACATATGGCTATGTGTCCATAACAACATTTTGGAATGTTTTAAAAGTATATACTATATGTAACTGGAATTGTACTTTATTCTGTGTACTTTATTCATTCCACATTGTTTGTGAGAATGGCCTATGTTGATGTGTAGCTGTAGTTCATTTGCTTTTGAGAGGTGACAGCGTGCTGGCAGTCCTCAGAGCCCTCGCTTGCTCTCAGCACCTCCCCTGCCTGGGCTCCCACTTTGGTGGCATTTGAGGATCCCTTCAGTCCCCCACTGCACTGTGGGAGCCCCTTTCTGGGCTGGCCAAGGCCGGAGCCCACTCCCTCAGCTTGCAGGGAGGTGTGGAGGGAGAGGCACGAGCGGGAACCGGGGCTGCGTGTGGCGCTTGTGGGCCAGCTGGAGTTCCAGGTGGGCGTGGGCTTGGTGGGCCCCGCACTCGGAGCAGCCAGCCAGCCCTGCTGGCCCCAGGCAATGGGGGACTTAGCACCCGGGCCAGTGGCTGCAGAGGGTGTACTGAGTCCCCCAGCACTGCTGGCCCACCGGTGCTGCGCTCGATTTCTCACCGGGCCTTAGCTGCCTTCCCACGGGGCAGGGCTCGGGACCTACAGCCCGCCATGCCTGAGCCTCCCACCCACTCCATGGGCTCCTGTGCGGCCCGAGCCTCCGACGAGCACCACCCCCTGCTCCACGGCGCCCAGTCCCATCGACCACGCAAGGGCTGAGGAATGCGAGCGCAGGGGGCAGGACTGGCAGGCAGCTCCACCTGCAGCCCCGGTGCGGGATCCACTAGGTGAAGCCAGCTGGGCTCCTGAGTCTGGTGGGGACATGGAGAGTCTTTATATCTAGCTCAGGGATTGTAAATACACCAATCAGCACCCTGTGTTTAGCTCAAGGTTTGTGAGCGCACCAGTCGACACTCTGTATCTAGCTGCTCTGGTGAGGACGTGGAGAACCTTTATGTCTAGCTCAAGGATTGTAAATACACCAATCGGCACTCTGTATCTAGCTCAAGGTTTGTAAACACACCAATCAGCACCCTGAGTTTAGCTCAAGGTTTGTGAATGCACCAATCGACACTCTGTATCTAGCTGCTCTAGTGGGGCCTTGGAGAACCTGGGTGTGGAAACTCTGTATCTAACTAATCTGATGGGGATGTGGAGAACCTTTGTATCTAGCTCAGGGATTGTAAACGCACCAATCAGCGCCCTGACGAAACAGGCCACTCGGTCCTACCAATCAGCAGGATGTGGGTGGGGCCAGATAAGAGAATAAAAGCAGGCTGCCCGAGCCAGCATTGGCAACCTGCTCAGGTCCCCTTCCACACTGTGGGAGCTTTGTTCTTTCGCTATTTGCGATAAATCTTGCTGCTGCTCACTCTTTGGGTCCATGCTGCTTTTATGAGCTGTAACACTCACCGCGAAGATCTGCAGCTTCACTCCTGAGCCCAGCAAGACCACGAGCCCACTGGGAGGAACGAACAACTCCAGATGCCCCGCCTTAAAAGCTGTAACACTCACCGCAAGGGTCCGTGGCTTCATTCTTGAAGTCAGTGAGACCAAGAACCCACCAATTCCGAACACATTTTAACTCAGATATAGTATTACGTCGCATGAATATACTTTAAATTTACTTATCCATATTCTCCCAGCTAACAGTAAAGATTTTAAAAATTAATAATCTAGTATAGATTAATGGTAAAGGGCAGAGAGGATATATATTGATATGTTTTGGAAGGTAAAGTTTTCGGTAAGTTACCAAAATTTGAAATTCATATACCATTGAGCTGTGAAGTCCATATCTGGTAGTCTATCCAAAAGAATACTTGTGCAGATATGGAGAAATTTACTAGGATGCTCTTTTAAAAAATAATAAAATTATGTTTGTTAATTAAGTGAATTATGATAGAGTTAAACTGTGGGATATTACGCAGTGTTTAATGTCAGGCTGATCTAAACATACACGTCGAAGGGTGTCTATCAGGGAGCCTAGCCTGTGGAATGCTGACAGAAGCAGTGAGTGAGGATGGTGAGCTCCCTTTGCAGTCCTGCCCTCACTTGACCAGGGGCACCACACACATCCAGAATCGGTTTCTTCCCAGAGCCTGGCCAGACTTTTTTTTTTTGAGACAGAGTCTCACTTTGTTGTCCAGGCTGGAGCGCAGTGGTGCGATCTCAGCTCACTGCAACCTCTGCCTCCTGGGTTCAAGTGATTCCCCTGTTTCAGCCTCCCGAGTAGCTGGGACTATAGGCACGTGCCACCATGCCCAGCTAATTTTTGTATTTTTAGTAGAGATGGGGTTTCACCATGTTGGCCAGGATGGTCTCGATCTCCTGACCCTGTGATCCACCCGCCTCGTCCTCCCAAAGTGCTGGGATTAACAGGTGTGAGCCACTGCGCCCAGCCTATCTTAGTATTTTAATGTAGTAAGTCAACCACGGTGAGAGGAAATGCTGAAAGAGAAAGTATTACCAACTGAAATCCTTATAGATAAGATCAGAGAGATTGTAAATTGGGGTTTAGGGATCAATTTCCTAATTTAGATTAGTATAATGTTTTTATTCTCTAGTATTATATATTTTTTGGTGGAAGAGAATCAAGGGAAGATGACATTACAGATAAAATTTCCTTTTTCTTTTTTCTTTTTCTTTTTCTTTTTTTGGTGACAGTCTTGCTCTGTCACCCACGCTGAAGTGCAGTGCTGTGATCTCAGGTCACTGCAGCCTCTGCCTCAGCCTCCCAAGTAGCTGGAATTTCAAGCACATCCCACCACACCTGGCTGATTTTTGTATTTTTAGTAGAGAGGGTTTCACCATGTTGTCCAGCCTGGTCTCAAACTCCTGGGCTCAAGCAATCCTCCCGCTTCAGCCTCCCAGAGTGCTGGGATTACAGGCGTGAGCCACCGCACTGGGCTAGTAAAGTTTCTTCTTAACAGTACCGAGTTGTCACTCAGCATGTGGGGCTGGGGGATTGGTTCCAGGACCATCACCCTCATATCGAAATCTGCTTACACAAGTCTGTTATATAAAATGGCATAGTGTTTGCATATAACCTACGCACATCCTCCCTTACACTTTTTTTTTTGAGACGGAGCCTCGCTCTGTCGCCCAGGCTGGAGTGCAGTGGCATAATCTCAGCTCACTGCAACCTCTGCCTCCCAGCTTCAAGCAATTCTCCTGACTCAAGCCTCCTGAGTAGCTGGGATTACAGGTGCGCACCACCACGCCTGGCTAACTTTTTGTATTTTTAGTAGAGATGAGGTTTCACCATGTTGACCATGCTGTTCTCGAACTCCTGACCTCAGGCGATCTGCCTGTCTCAGCCTCCCAAAGTGCTGAGATTACAAGTGTGTGCCATTGCACTGGCCCTTCTCTTATACTTTAAATCATCTTTAGATTGCTCATATTTAATACTGTGCAACATAAACACTATGTAGTTATATTTTTAAAATTTATATTTTTTGTTGTTGTCTTGTTTTTATTTGAAATTGTATTTGAATATTTTTGATCCACAGTTGCTTGCACCTGCAAATGCAGAAACTTTGGATTTGGAGGCCAGCTGTACTCTGTGTGTGTGTGACTATAAGTGAACATATAACTAAAGAGGTGATAGAAAACTTTTTTATTAATTATTTTTAATATAAATAGATGTTCAAGGATAATACATCTGCTTTGAAGATTTGTACAAAAATGGCTTGGTACAAAAATATTCAAGCAACAGGATTTACTTGGCATACGTTCAAGAATTTCTATGCCTCATTTTATTAAGCCTCGGAGACGTGCAAAATGGAAATTATGCATCATTTTTTTTTGAGACGCAGTCTCACTCTGTCCCCAGGCTGGAGTGCAGTGGCGCAATCTTGGCTCACTGCAACCTCCGCCTCCCAGATTCAAGCTATCCTCCTGCCTCAGCCTCCCAAGTAGCTGGTACTACAGGCGTGCACCACCACGCGCACCACCACGCCCAGTTAATTTTTGAATTTCTAGTAGATATGGGGTTTCACCATGTTGGCCACGATGGTCTCGATCTCTTAACCTTGTGATCCACCCGCCTCAGCCTCCCGAACTGCTGGGATTACAGGTGTGAGCCACCGCGCCTGGCCTACTTCCATTATGTTTTCCTACTCCATTTTCTATCTGATCTGTTAGTTAAATACTAACATTTACTAGGAATAATTTTCCTGTTACTTTTTTGCCAGTATATGCTTATTTGTACATAATTTATTAAAGCTGACATTGCCGGCCGGGCACGGTAGCTCACGCCTGTAATCCCAGCACTTTGGGAGGCTGAGGTGGGCGGATCATGAGGTCAGGAGCTCGAGACCAGCCTGACCAACATGGTGAAACCCCATCTCTACTAAAAATACAAAAATTAGCCAGACATGGTGGCCCATACCTGTAATCCCAGTTACTCAGGAGGCTGAGGCAGGAGAATCACTTGAACCTGGGAGGCGGAAGTTGCAGTGAGCCAAAATTGAGCCACTTCACTCCAGCATGGGTGACAGAGTGAGACTCTGTCTAAAAAAAAAAAAAAATTTAAAAAAAAAAAAGCTGACATTGCCAATAGTATGTTAGGTTAATTGGGAAGTCTTCAATTATATGACAGCTAATGTGCCAGTTAGGTTTAAATAAAAATGCTAAGGCAAACAACTTAGGCTTCCTTTTATTTTTAAACATTGTAGATTTATAGTTTTTATTCACTTCTTTATTTTTAAACATTGTAGATATATAGGTTTTAATCCAGGAAGTGCAGGTTGCCTATAAAATTCTTGATTTCAGATCATTTCCATGGAAAATGGTAAGCTGTTGAATATAATATAGGTAGGCTTTTATTTTAAAATTTAATATAATAAAAAACATTATTATGAAATATCATGTGGGCTGGGCATGGTGGCTCATGCCTGTAATCACAGCACTTTGGGAGGCTGAGGCAGGCAGATCACTCAATGTCAGAAGTTTGAGACCAGACTGGCCAACATGGTGAAACCCTGTCTCTACTAAAAAAACGAAAATTAGCCAGGCCTGGTGGCACGTGTCTATAATTCCAGCTACTAGAGAAGCTGAGCCATGAGAATTGCTTGAACCCAGGAGGCGGAGGTTGCAGTGAGCTGAGATCGCACCACTGCACTCCAACCTGGGTGACAGAGACTCCATCTCAAAAAAAGAAATATCACGTGAATGTTTGGCAGAAGTTGGTAAGTTTCTTATTCAGTGCAATGTGTATCAAAATAACATTGCTACAAGGAGGGAGAGGTGAAAGGGCTGGATGATAGCCACTAAGTCTTCAGAGCTGGAGGTATTTTATGAATAGCTGTGAGTTCAGTGGCATGGATTTTAGGTGTTTTTCAAGACTGATATCTATGACAACCTTAAAATCACTAAACATATTTATTTAATAGATCCCTTTTGATATGGTATCATAAACTTCAGCTTTTACAAATGGATAATGTATGGGGAATTAATTAGATCACTTTTAATAAATTTGCCAAGTTTTTTGTAAATCACAGAAAATGGATTAGTGATTATCTCTACTGTTGACAATGAGGAGCATAGTGGATATACCAAAAATTATTTAGGGTTGAGTTTACACTATCTATGACAATCAGTTTCCTAGCTTTGGTTTTTTTTTTTTTTTTTTTTTTTTTTTTTGAGACAGAGCCTTGCTCTGTCGCCAGGCTGGAGTGCAGTGGTGCGATCGCGGCTCACTGCAACCTCTGCCTTTTGGGTTCAAGCGATTCTCCTGCCTCAGTCTCCCAAGTAGCTGGGACTACAGGCGCGTGCCACCATGCCCAGCTAATTTTTGTATTTTTAGTAGAGACAGGGTTTCACCACGTTGGCCAGATGGTCTCGATCTCTTGACCTCATGATCCGCCCGCCTCGGCCTCCCAAAGTGCTGGGATTATAGCTGTGAGCCACTCCACCCGGCCCTCCTAGCCTCTTTTTTAATGAATAAATTGCTTTTATTTGCTTCTAAATTTTTTAAAATTAAAAGATAATTTACATACATTAAAATTCAACCTCTTTAGGGTACAATTCTGAGTTTTGACAAATGCACGCAGTCATATAACCACCACCACCACAATGAAGATACAGAACAGTCCCTTTAGTTCCAAAATTCTGTCATGCCGTTTTATGAAAAGTCAGTTCCCTTACCACCAGCCCTGGCAACCTTGGATCTGTTTACTATTCCTGTAAGTTTGTCTTTTCCAGAGTGTCTCATTTTATCACATATGTGTAGCCCTTTACGTTGGCTTCTTTCTAATGCACATGCAGGTATCTTTGTTCATCCCTTGTTATTGCTGTGTGGTATGCCATTGTGTGGATGTACCACAGTTTGTTTCCCATTCACTACTTGAAGAACAAGTGGGTATTTCTAGTTTTGGATGATTATGAATAAAGGCTCTGTAAACATTTTTTGTCAATGTAAATCCTCCTTTTACTTAGGTTAAGTACCTAAGAGTTAGGATTGCTGGCTCATAGGATAAGTGCATTCCCACCTGATGAGAAACTGCTATTGCTCCTATTGGGTAGCCTAGAATTTAGTGTTAAGTTTGTGGTAGATGCTGCAGATTATTACAGATTGTCCACTTGTGGGCAATTGAGAGTCAATCATAATTGTTATATTTTATTTTAGTTATCACTTTCTCCTGCAAACCATGTTTTGATTTTTGGCTTTCATCTATAAAGATTAAAAGTGAATACAGTAGTGTCCCTTTATCCACAGGGGATGTATTTCAAGACCCTAGTGGATGCCTGAAACTGCATATAGTACTGAACAGTATATATACTATGTTTTCTCCTTTACATCCATAGCTATGATAAAGTTTAATTTATAAATTAGTCACAGTAAGAGATTAACAGCAATAGCAATAAAATAGAACAATTATAACAATATACTGTAATAAAGATTATGTGAATGTGGTATCTCTCTCAAAATATTATATGTAATATTTTCAGACTGAAGTTGATCACAGGTAAAGGGTGACTGCTATACCATTATATCTTAATTTGTTGTACAACAGTGAATTTAATATCTTAATGGTTATCACTGTACTAGCATGAGTGATCAAGATTTTTGACCTCCTAAACTTAGTTTTCTCTTCTGCAAAATGGTGATAAATTAACACTACCTTACAGAGTGATATTCTTCTGTAAGATGGTGATAAATTATTACCCTGCAATAAGGACTTTATGAAATTCTACATGGAAAATGCTTAACATAGCAATGGGCAGAGAGCACATGTTAGCTTTTTTTTTTTTTAAAGTGTTTGTTTTAATACCAAACCTGAGATTACAATTTAAACATTGCTATCAAAGCTCAGGAAGTACAGACAGACGTTGGGGCATTTTTGTGACAGGGAAGTATTCTGGTTTTTACATTACTGAAATTTGCTAAGGCTAAGTGGTCTTGGAACCAAACCTAAACAGATTCTCTGCCACAGTGAAATTTTAACACATATGGGTGGAGTTTGCAAAGGAGTTAAAAACAATTCAGGTTTCTTCTCTTTGACTTTTTTCTCCATGTACTATTACCCTATTCTGTATCAGATTAATTGTAAAGCTTATTTATTTATGCCTTATATACACATTTCTGTTATTAAAAAAGTACCACTTTCATTAGAATGATTGACAACCTTTGTGTCCTGATGGGGAGCTTGTGTTGAAGTGGGAGAACAAACCCCTCACACCTCATCCTCAGCACTGTATTGGCTCCTGCCTGACATCCATCAGCTCCTAGCAGGTGTGCAATTTAGCAAGTCCTTTAATCCTCCCTAACCCAGCAATTCACTGCCCCAGTGGTTCTCAAAGTGTGATTCCTGGAGTGAAGGCCCAGGTCAGCAGTGTCACTGTCACCTGGGAGCTTGTTAGAAATGCAAATTATGTGGCCCCACCATGCACTGAATCTGACTTTGATAGGGCACTCAGTGATGTATGTCTTGATAACCCAGTAGGTGATTCAAGTGCACACTAGAGAGAGGGAACTACTGTGTCTGGACACAAAGAGGAGGGGGTTGGAGAGGTTATTTTCCCCAGTGAGGGAGAATGTCTGTAACCTGTTAACTCATTATGATTTTATAAATATTTTAATCTGACATTTTCTTTTGTTTGTTTGTTTGTTTTTGAGATGGAGTCTCACTCTGTCACCGAGGCTGGAGTGCAGCGGCGCAATCTCAGCTCACTGCAACCTCTGCCTCCTGGGTTCAAGCGATTCTCCTGCCTCAGCCTCCTGAGTAGCTGGGATTACAGGTGCATGCCACCACACCCGGCTAATTGTTGTATTTTTAGTAGAGATGGATTTCACCATGTTGGCCAGGCTGGTTTCGAACTCCTGACCTCAGGTGATCCACCCACCTCGGCGTGCCAAAGTGCTGAGATTACAGGCGTTAGCCGCCGCGCCTGGCTTTAATCTGACATTTTCTGATTTTTCAAGGCCATGAGAAATTACTAATGTACTTATAAAGACAGATAAAAATGAGTAATAAATATTTTACCAGTTAAACTATGTTTTGAAATAACATATACGACTTGTTTTCCTTAGGAAATTTGTATGTAGTATTTATTAATTCTGTATTATTTAGTCACTGAAATCAATGAGCTATGCTGGAAAGGAAAACATAAATGGGATATTTGAGGTCATTCAAAATGAGATTTTAACATCTTAAGCTTGTGAATCATGAATCTGTAACCAACATCTTTGGTCCAGGGCAGGAGCCCTGTTAAAATAGAAACAAACTGTTTTCCCATTAGCTTTTTTAGAGCATTACTAATAGTTAAGGCATTAGTCCATTTAGAAATCGCCCTATTCCCAGCTGTACTTTGAATGCTTTTAAAGGTTCCATGTGCCTCAGTTGTTTACTTTACTTTGATAAATAGAAGTCTCTCTGTGCTCATACACTCCCTCTCATGCAATGTACTGCAGCAGTCCGTCCTCTGGGGAGGTGTGGCATGTTTTGCATAAGGTCGTCCTTGGGCAGTAAGTTCGAAGAATGCACTGAAGTCATAGTGCATTGGTCTGAGCTCCTGGCAGATCCTGTGTAATCTTCAGCCTCCCTGAAGCTTTACAGCCAGGAGTGAGATTTTATCACATGAACTTTAAAAGAGTAAAGCCAAATATCTTTTTATTAAACCAGAGTAGATTAATTATCAGTATATGTGAAATCATGTCCACTGATCAAGGTAAGTGGTTTCATTTTCTAGTAGATATATTTTTTTCTTCCCCAGCGTGGGTCACTTTATAACACTGCATGCCGAGGGATGTAAAAGTGGCAGAGTTTGGTTTTCTTTTAAAGTTAATAAAGCTCACATTGGTTTTCAAGTTCAAGATTAAAATATGTGCTATTGATGGGTTTTGGCTCTCCAGGAGGCTTCTTCTGGGCTAACCAGATACAAATGAGTTTGATAGTTAAGTTTCTCTGGCTTATTTTTATTATCATAAGTAAAGTTTGGAAATTTGGTCATTGAGGGGAGAAATATAGAGAAAGAAAGGAACAGTTTTCTCTTTTTCCTCCCATTTCTGGTGTGAACAAATGTTAAGAAATATTTACCACTAATCATTTTTCTAGTGCTACTGCACGGAGCATTGTTCTGTTAAAACAAACAAAAATTCCCACCATCCCAGTCTTGTTTTGGTGAAGTTCAGGGGAGTAAGTATTATTTGTTTTTCTGTAAAAGACAACATTGTAGAGATAGGCATGAGTTTGTTTTTTAAAAATTGTTAGTGGTAGTAGTATTAAGCCACTGTGGTCTCTTTGAGTGTTGTAGAGAGCATATTAATGAGAAATTGAGTCTTTGAAATAGAAATGTAATTCAACTGTGTGATAGAAATGTAATCATGTGACGGGAAATGTCTGCTAAAAATATTTTTAATCACTGAAATGGGTTCATTTTGTTTATTTTCCCATTCGTTTTTGACTGGATATAAGCCTCACTGAAAAATGTCCACACTGCTGAACAAGATAAACTACAACTTAGAACCGGCAGCCTTCACAGTTACCAGTATTCTTTCTGATGGTGGTGTGGCTCTTTCCTTCCTTAAGTGTCAGGGGCATACGCTGAGTGTGGAAGCCCAAGGTTGGGGTTGGTGACAGCACTGCCTCAGGAGAGCTGAGGCGCCACTCCTGCAGCTGCACAGCTGGCTCCGTTCCCAGGTTCTAGTAGCTGCGGGAGGGTTAAGCAGCCCAGTCCATGCCTGCCCCTGCTCCCTCCATCACTCAGGCAGAAGCCTGAATTCTTTTGCAGGCGTTCCACCACTCTTGCATAAAGTTTGGAGGTCTTGTGATCTCTCCAAAATTTACCATCATACTCTAAATATGAAATTAAAAAAAAAAAAAGAAATGCAGCAAAAGGGAAGTGTTTTCTCACCCCAAGCAGTGAAGTTTTAGGTTCTCTTTTTCCTGAAATAGCTTCTGTCCATTCTCATTTATCTTCAAACAGTTAGAGATGATTGGAGAGACAGTATTCCCTCCTGGAAGGCAGCTCTTAATTAGAGAGGAAAATATTTCTAGAACAGGAAGATGAAGCTTGAGAGGTGAATGTTGATAAACATAGAGAACTTGTTGGCTCTTGTTTTCTGCTTTAATGGACAGCACCCTTTAGAGAGTGGCCACTACAACAATATGGACTTTATAAGTTCCTTTTTAGGTTTTTAAACTGAGAAGACAGTAATATAGCACTTCCTGCCTACACTACTGGATAATTTTGTTAAATCATCTAAGAAAAATTGTAAATATGCATATTTAGTGCACATGTTATTTTATAACAGTTTTTTTTTTTTAATGACCTGAAAAAACTTCTCTTTCTAAAGCTTACGCTTTCAGGCAAACTCCTTTCACATGAAAGAAATGAAATATGATAGAGTATGATGAATGACTCAATAGGAAATATTATGCAGTTCTTTGGAAGAATGATAACTTGGTGTTCCTTTAATAAACATCCAAATGTACATGTAACCTAAACTGCAAACTAGGATTAAGATTTAAATTTAATCAGTTCTTCTTAGATACTAGAATAGACTTGAGGAGGTCAAGAGTAGATAGGAGACTCCTGGAATAATCCAGGGAAAAGTTGAAGTCATTTATTTCAAAAATAAAAAGGTATTTTCTTAGATGTTTTGTGGACCATCCCTGCCCACTTCCTGAGCCACCTTCTGATAACCTTTACTGTAGGCACCTGTTTTCTTTATAAAATAACAAGCTAATTTTTATTGGCTAAAGTACATTTGTAAATGTCTTCACCCTGGTTTGTGTGTGTTCTCTGATTTATCTCCCACCACAGCACCTGCTAAGCTCTGGCTAGAACAGATCCTTCCATTTTTATTCCCTGGCGAATTGACACAAGTTAGTTGGTTATACGTTGAAGCAGGCAGAAGGAAAACACTTAGGAGAAGAAAAATAGTGTTAATCGTAGAATTTGGTCATTCTACATGGTGGTTATTATAATAAAACTTGGCCTGGGGAAAATGAGTCTTTCACCCTCTTAGAGAATAAGTACACACAAATACATTTTTAAAACATTTAAACAAACAAACAAAAAAGACTGTGTCACTGTGGTCTTGTCTTTTCCATGCCATTATAAAGCAGTTATTTCTTTTTTTTCTCTCTCTCTTTTCTTTTTTTTTTTTGAGACAGAGTCTCGCTCTGTCACCCAGGCTGGAGTGCAGTGGCGCTAAGCTCCACCTCCGGGGTTCACACCATTCTCCTGCCTCAGCCTCCCGAGTAGCTGGGACTACAGGCACCCGCCACCATGCCCGGCTAATTTTTTGCATTTTTAGTAGAGACAGGGTTTCACCGTGTTAGCCAGGATGGTCTCAATCTCCTGATCTCATTATCCGCCCACCTCGGCCTCCCAAAGTGCTGGGATTACAGGCGTGAGCCACCACGCCTGGCCATAAAGCAGTTATTATTTCTTATGCTTAGTCCCAAAAACCTAGTCTTCCTTGAGTCATTTTTCTCTTATGTACAATCTGGCAACAAATCTTGCTTCAAGATATATCAAACTGACTATGTCTTATTGCCTCTACTGTTACTTGCCCTGCTTTAGGTTACACACAGCTTTCCCCTGGATTGCTTCTACTAGCCTCCTATCTACCCTTGACCTCCTGGAGTCCATTGTCTACCTAACAGCCTGTGTGCACCTCTAAAAACGGAGGGCAGATAATTGCCACTTCTCTGCTCGCAGTCCTTCAGTGAATTCCCATCTCTTTCAAAGGAAATCCCCTGTTCTTTCAATGATGTGCAAGGCCCTACCTTCTCTAGCCCCTATCCCTATCCCTACCCCTTAACTTTCTGACCTCAGCATCAAATATGCTCCCTAGTCTATCCATGTTGTCTTCCTTATTTCTCTTTGAACATATCAACTGTGCTTCTACCTTAGGATTTTTGTAGTTTTACACTTTGCTTGGAATGCTAATCCTCAAAATATGTTATGCCTTATTCCCTTCATGTCTACTCAGCTAGCAGAGTATTAGTGAGACCTCCTTGTCCTCCCTGTATATAGGATATAATAATAGCCTCTCACCTAATAGCACGCCTGTTCCTTCACCCAGCTTTACTTTCGTTATAGCAGTTTTTTTGTTTGTTTGTTTTGTTTTGTTTTGAGACAGAGTCTTTCTGTCATCCAGGCTGGAGTGCAGTGGCGCAGTCTTGGCTCACTGCAACCTCTGCCTCTCAGGCTGAAACGATCCTCCCACCTCAGCCTCCACAGTAGCCAGGACTTACAGGCACACACCACCATGCCTGGCTACTTTTTATATTTTTAGTAGAGACATGGGTTTTGTCATGTTGCCCAGGCAGGTCTCGAACTCCTGAGCTCAAGCAATTCACCTGCCTTGGTTTCCCAAAATGCTGGGATTACAGGTGTGAGCCACTGTGCCTGGCCCATCATAGCACTTTTACCATTTAGCATGTTATACAGGTTATTTTTTTGTTGTGGTGTTCACTGCTATGTTCCTAGGGTCTAGAAAGGTAACTAATAGATACTGGGTGCTTTGTTAATATTTGTTGATTGAATACATTTCTAATATTCAGTGCCTTTTTCTGTTGGGAAATGTAAAATGAGCAGGAATATAAGAAGTTTAATAAATTATAAATATTTGTAGTGTTCTCCATTTCTTCCCTTCAGTTCTCTTTTAAGAATAAATATCCTTGCTTGCTAACCTCTGGTGTCCCTTGTTGAGCAGCATGTCAATAATGAGTTCCTGCTATTGGAAGCCTCACAGGCCAAGTTGATATAAAGAAGTATGAAGAAAGTATGGAGGGGTTAGTGGGTTAGTGAGATTGGAATCTGTGGCTGAGCCCGTACATGATTTTGGATGATTAATTAATGGGCTGTGTCGTAAGACAGAAAAGAGATGAGGGAGAAGCTTTGGGGTGTGAAACCAAGAAATCTGGAGCGATACTGTCTGTGTGGAGAAAATTGTGGCCAAGATTTTTTGCTATTAAAGATGTACTTAGGCCAGGCGCAGTGGCTCACACCTGTAATCCCAGCACTTTGGGAGGCCAAGGAGGGAAGATCATGAGGTCAGAAGATCCGAGACCATCCTGGCTAACACCGTGAAACTCCGTCTCTAGTAAAGATACAAAAAATCAGCTGGGCGTGGTGGCACGCACCTGTAGTCCCATCTACTCAGTAGGTTGAGGCAGGAGAATTGCTTGAACCCAGGAGGTGGAGGTTGCAGTGAGCTGAGATCGTGCTATTGCACTTCAGCCTAGGTGACAGAGGGAGACTCTGTCTCAATAAATAAAAAGATAAAAATAAATAAGAAAAAGAGGTCCTTAATATTTTATATTAATGATATACTTGCCCCACTTTTTGTTTTTTCTCTTCCTACATTTAAGTCATTTCACTCTTTGAAGCACTCTTGTAGGAGGGTGATAGGAAAAGTAAAACGATTGAATAAAAAATAATCTAGAAATATTTCCTTAGTAGTTCCTGTAAGGCTTGATGTGGAATAGAAAACCAATACACGGGCCAGGTGCGGTGGCTCACATCCGTAATCCCAGCACATTGGGAGGCTGAGGTGGGTGGATCATCTGAGGTTGGGAGTTCAAGACCAGCCTGACCAACATGGAGAAACCGCATCTCTACTAAAAATATCAAATTAGCTGGGCGTAGTGGCACATGCCTATAATCCCAGCTACTTGGGAGGCTGAGGCAGGACAATCGCTTGAACCTGAGAGGCGGAGGTTGCAGTGAGCTGAGATCGCGCCATTGCACTCCAGCCTGGGCAACAAGAGCGAAACTCTGTCTCAGGGGGGAAAAAAAAAAAAGCCAGTACATGAATTAAAGTGTAAGAATTATTTGTGTTTACACTTCATGTAATTTATTTCCAAATTTATCTAGATAATTGGAAATTGACCTGCATTTTAAAATCTGTAGCCAACAGTTAATGTTAAAAAAAAAAGTTCCCTTCCCCAAATGCAGTTAAAATCTATGAACTGCTGTTTGCTATTTGATAATATACTTGATCTGAATAGTAATTATACATTATTAGATTACATGACTTCTTAGAAATATGGAATCAATTTTGACTATAGCAAAAAGAAATTATACAAAGCTTGAAAATAATTTTGTTATTTTATAAATGTGTAAGCCCCTTAATGTCTATCAGTAGTTACTGATTTATTAGAAATATCATGTTTTTCTCTAATATTGCCCAGTAAATTTTTTTTAAATTTATTTCCATCAGAGTTACTAATTTAGAGTGTAAAATAGCAAAATAAGAAATATCAAGGAAAAAAGGTATTTCTGGTAACTTTTTATCTAAAATTGACCATTTTGATACAGAATGGTAACAAGTCATGCTTAGGGTTAGGAAATGTAACTGTATTCACTATACTCAATCCTAAAAATTGTGTAATACCTCTATGTTCAAGGAGGTTTAAGTTCGCCTCCCTCATAGACCTCTAAATGCAGTGACTATGAGAAATGTCATAGGAGAGGTACAAAATATGTTTGGAGAATAGAAAAGGAGGAACAACTGTTTCATTGATTCAAGGAAATTTCCTCAAAAAAGGTAACATTGGAGCTAGATATTGATAAATTTGTTTAAACAAAGACTTTCTGTTTTTTAAGCTAAAAGAACCAACGTATGCAAAAGCAGAGAGAAACATATGAAAAGAGAACTGTGTTTTCCAGGAATGGAGAAGATGAGAATGTGGCTAGAGTGTTAGGGGTGCATAGTTCTGAGTAGATGGATATTAGGCCCTTCAGGAGATTGACGCCTTTTTTTTTCTTTCTTTCTTTTCTTTTTTTTTTTTTTGTGAGACAGAGTTTCACTCTTGTCGCTCAAGCTGGAGTGTGATGGTGTGATCTCAGCTCACCGCAACCTCCACCTCCCAGGTTCAAGCAATTCTCCTGCCTCAGCCTCCCGAGTAGCTGGGATTACAGGCATGTGCCACCACCCCCAGCTAATTTTGTATTTTTAGTAGAGATGGGATTTCTCCATGTCGGTCAGGCTGGTCTCGAACTCCTGACTTCAGGTGATTCGCCCGCCTCTGCCTCCCAAAGCGCTGGGATTACAGGCAAGATTGATGTCTTAATGTGAAGGGTCCTTTATGCAAGCTAGAGGTTTTGAGGTTCCCCCTCCCCATCGAGCCTTGCAGTTCCATTAAAGGATTTTAAGCAAGGGAGTAATAAAATTCGTTATATCATTGAATGAATAAAATAGTCAGACTTTTTATTTGTAGGAGAAAAATTGTATTAGATGTAGCCAAATATGGCTTAAGTAATGCAGTTTTAAAATTCAGAATTGGAAAATTGGTTTATCTTTGATTAACTGGTTCATTTTTTTTCTTCCTAACTTCTTTCTTCTGTCAGCCAAAAAAAAATAGGAAATAATGGATAAGCTAGAAGCAGTATTTGCTTTTTAAGTTTTGCATGACTGAAACAATCCCCTACACTGTTAGAAGCCTAACACACAATGCTATTGTGCTCTGGGTCTAGAAAAAATGTGAGGCCTGCTAGTCTGATTTTGCAGCAGGGAGTAAGGA
This sequence comes from Homo sapiens, assembly GCF_000001405.40. NCBI lineage: Eukaryota > Metazoa > Chordata > Mammalia > Primates > Hominidae > Homo > Homo sapiens. Next base: position 32,541,311 of record NC_000012.12, read on the forward strand.
AAGCCAATACTTAACTTTGTAAGCTGCTAAATATTAAATGTTTAGTAAAATGGGGTTTATAGTAATGTTTTTTTTGAGACAGAGTCTCACTCTGTTGCCAGGCTGGAGTACAGTGGCTCAGTCTCGGCTCACTGCAACCTCTGCCTCCGGGTTCAAGCGGTTCTCCTTCCTCAGCCTCCTGAGTAGCTGGGATTAGAGGCGCCTGCCACCACACCCAGCTAATTTTTGTATTTTTAGTAGAGACGGGGTTTCACCACGTTGGCCAGGCTGGTGTCAATCTCCTGACCTGGTGATCCGCCCGCCTCAGCCTCCCAAAGTGCTGGGAATACAGGCGTTAGCCACCGTGCCCGGCCAGTAATATTTTTTCTTAAAAAGAGAATATCAAAATAAAGAGGAGAGTCAGGAGTAGAGGGTATCACCAAGCCTTTTTTAGAGTCACCTAATTTGTTACATGTTTTTCTTAAAATTACCAACCATCAAAAAGAAGAATTTTGATCTATATCTATGCCTAAGAGATGTCAGTAGAGCAGTAAAAATATTTCTCTAATTTATAAGGAAGTTAAGTAACTTTCCCACAGTCAAAATAATCATGTCAAAAATTTGACCTTTCAACCACTAGTTTTAGTAATCCACCCTGCTTTTTTCCTCAGGGAAAAAAAAAAATGTACTTCCCAGATAAACATCACCTTGCGTTTCACCGCAGGTCTGGGTGATCCTTACCTTGGAACAAATGATAGTGTTGGTGCATTTAAAGTAGCAGCTTTTGGGTGACTGGCTGGTCCTGAGGAGTTTTTCCTACTTAGCAGTGTTCATTTTATCTATTAATGCCGTGAAGCAAAATACAGGTTGAATGAGCAGTGTTGGTAACTGCAAAACAAAGTGTTGCAACACAGTAGGCTGAGGTAGTTTTAAGCAGATAAAGTCTACAGAAATTAGTTTACAGAAATAGTGTTAGGCTGGGATGTTTTAGCTGCTAGATTTCAGATTTAGAGAAATCAAGTTTAGAAAAATAAACCAGCAAAGTAGTACAAAATTAATAGCAACAATGTCAGGAAGAATTTGCTTATGAAAAGGATCTATTTTCCCTTTTGTGAAGAGAAACATTTGTTCACCCTTGGTTACTTGTGATTGAGATAATTAAAAACAATTTTATTTGGTTTTAGCAGCCTCCTTGTGAAAACTTATGAAATATTAGGCAGTTTGATTTTCTTCTCCTCTCTGGACCTGCAGATAAATTTGTTGTGAATAAATGGAAAATAGTTTGGCAGTGGGCAGAAGCAAGGGAAAAGCCAAGAATCTGGTCGATTTATAAACCAGACATTGTGAATAAATGAGTTGGCTACAGCTCTTAGAAAAAGGCTTTTGCCTTTCGAGTTCTTTTCCTACATCTGCTTTTATTTCTTTCACACTTTATGAAGTCAATAAAAATTTTGATTTCATTGTTACAGAAGTTTCTCCTTGTATAGGAGCTTTTCATGCCCTCTGTTGGCCATAAATAATTTACTTTTGATTTCTCAAGGCTCCTAACTGGTGACTTTTCATATAAGGGGATGTCTAGGTTGTTTTTGGTAGTGATATTATCTCTTTGTACCCAGAGAACACTTCTGACACCAAATGGGGGGTTTTCTTCACAGCAACAACCAGTTCTTCAGCTCTACCTGGAGTTAGCGTCAGATCCCATAGGTGAAACGCTGAGTCCCACAAGACTATCCCCACTTTAGATGCCAGTCACAAGTCCCAGGCATCCCGTAGTTCTGACTGACTCACCGTAAATCAGAGGTTCCCATGAACTCCTCATCAGATTTAATAATTTGCTAGATTGGGTCACAGAACTCAGGAAAGCACTTTACTGACATTTGCTTGTTTATTATAAAGGATACTATGAAGAATATAGATGAACAGCCAGATAAAGAGAGATTAATACATAAGGTGAGGTCCAGAAGATTCCTGAACATGGGTGCTCCTGTCCCATGGGGTTAGGGTAGGCCACCCTCCCTGCACATGGATGTATTCACCAACTTGGAAGCTCTCTGATCCTTGTCACTTAGAGGTTTCATCATGTAGACGTGATCAATTATTAACTCAGTCTCCAGGCACTCTCCCTCTCCAGAAGTTGGGAGGAATAGGTCTGAAAGTTCCATGCTTCTGATCATTACTTGGTCTTTCTGGCAGCCACCTCCATCCTGAGGCTACCTAGGGTTACGCCAAGAGTCATTTCATCAAAAGAGGCTTCTACCACCCAGGAAGTGTCAAGAGATTTAAGAACTCTCCGTTAGGAACAAAAGATGCTCCTATTATCCCCACCACTTAGGAAATTACAAGAGTTTTGTTTTTGAGACAGGGTCTCACTGTGTTGCCCAGGCTGGAGTGCAGTGGTGCAATCTCAGCTCACTGCAAGCTCCGCCTCCTGGGTTCATGCCATTCTCCTGCCTCAGCCTCCCAAGTAGCTGGGACTACAGATGCCCGCCACCACGCCCAGCTAATTTTTTTGTATTTTTAGTAGAGACGGGGTTTCACCATCTTAGCCAGGATGGTCTTGATCTCCTGACCTCATGATCCGCCCGCCTCGGCCTCCCAAAGTGCTGGGATTACAGGTGTGAGCCACCGCACCCAGCCGGAAATTACAAGAGATTTAAGTGCTGTCCTTTGTCAGAAACCAGAGATCAAGTATATATATTTTTATTATGTCACAAATGGATTCTAAAATCAGATAATCTTACTATTACTTATCTGTGAAGAGGACTTCATACTTTGCACAGAAGTATTTGCTGTGACTTAAACAAGAGTCACATGGTGCTATGAGCTTAAATAATTACTAGTAAAATTTGGCCAGAGCCAGCAGCCATGGCTTATGTCTGTAATCCCAGCACTTTGGGAGTCCGAGATGGGTGGATCTCCTGAGGTCAGGATTTCGAGACCAGCCTGGCCAACATGGTGAAACAAAAAATGTCTCTACAAAAAATGCAAAAATGAGCTGGGCGTGGTGGTGGGTACCTGTAATCCCAGCTACTTGGGAGCCTGAGGCAGGAGAATCACTTGAACCTGGGAGGGAGAGGTTGCAGTGAGCCGAGATGGTGCCACTGCACTCCAGCCTGGGTGACAAAGCAAGACTCTCTCAAAACAAAGAAAATTGTTTTTGGCTGGGTGCAGTGGCTCATGCCTGTAATCCCAGCACTCTGGGAGGCTGAGGCAGGTGGATCACTTTGAACTCAGTCGTTTGAGACCAGCCTGGTCAGTATGGTGAAATCCCGTCTCTACAAAAAAATACAAAAATGAGCCGGGCGTGGTGGCTCACACCTGTGGTTCCAGCTACTCAGGAGGCTGAGGCTAGAGGACTGCTTGAGCCAGGAAGTGGAGGTTGCAGTGAGTTGAGATCGCACCATTGCACTCCAGCCTGGTGACAGAAGGATACTCTGTCTCCAAAAAAAAAAAATTACTATTAAAATTAGTCTTCATGGTGTTTTGGTGAACTTTAGCTTACCAGCTGAAAATTATGGAATTCATTTCATATAGCTTCCACTATAAATACTATTTTGATCCAAGCCTGTTAATAACACTAAGCATGGTGACTCTCAACCATGACTGCACAGTGGGATTGCCTGGGAAGCTTTAACATACACTGATACCTGGGTCTCATATCCCAGAGATTGACTTAAGTGGTTTGGGGTGCAACCCAGGTATTGCAGTTTTCTTTCTTAAAGTTCCACAGGTGATTCTAATGTAGTCATGGTTGAGAGCTACTGACCTTGAGAAGCATGATTTTTTAGAGGTGGCTAACCCGTTCTGGTCTACTGGTTTACATGCAGTAGAGATAGTTGGGGAAGATAATTTTTGCTTAAAATAGGAAAGCAACTGACACAATCGCATGGTAGGCATGCAGGGTTTAGAACAGTAAGAAACTGAAGATTATACCATATAACACTGTGAATTTATTAAATACATTCCAGAGTGGGTTATCAGCCAAGATGTGCTAGATCAACTGTGTATGGTGCTGCTAATGAGTTCACAGAAACCTAGAGGTTTTTACTTGCCCAAGGTCACACCACTAGCTGGGGACACAACCAAAACTGGAAAATTATAGTGGTAATTCATAGTTTGTTGCCTTGATTATTTAGGTCAAGTTCTGTAAACTTTTTCTGTGAAGGGCCAGATTGTAAACATTTTAGGCTTTGCAGGCCATATGGTCCCTGTTGCAACTACTCAACTCTACTAACATAGTAAAAAGCATCATACACATTATGTAAATGAATGAATGTGTATTCTAGTAAAACTTTATTGACAGAAGCTGGATTTGGCCTGTGACCTGTAGGCTGCAGATCCCTGATTGAGGATTGTTTTAATCTTCCCATTGGAAAGTTGGCTCCTTAAGAGTAGGCTGAAGATGTTACTGGTCCCACGTGGTGCCTTACTTCCTGGTACTGTTACAGTGGCCTCTGTTGCAAGGTGTTAGATGAGTGCTTGTTGAATTCATATCTATGCAGCTCTTAACGTTTTTCTGTTGCTTCTAACCCTTCCAGTAGGGGAAACAGTTGGCACATATTCCAGCTTTGGAGAGGAAATGCTTGAAGTCTGTAGCAGGGTATAATTGCTGAATTCTTCAAGCGAATTAAAGATCTGAATTTGCTCTAGGGCATTCATAATTATTTTAATTTCCTGGAACAGATTCTAAGAATTCATTTTAAATCTGAAAGTTTTTCTTAAAATCTGTTTTATGATACACTGTCTTTATTTTTGTGAATATTGTTAGTTTCTCACAACAATATTTATTTCAGTTCATTTGGATCTAAGATCTTTGTTGTACTTATGTGTGGCCAGTAGACTCTTTAGCAAAATTAAACAAATGCTAATGGGTTCCCACAGCCACCCAAATATTAGAAGTACAGCTCCAGATTATGAGCCTGTTTCTCTTTTTCTTTTCTTCTTCTCATTATTTTAAAGAGATGGAGTCTCAGTATGTTGCTTAGGCTGGTCTCAAACTCCTGGGCTGAAGCCATTCTCCCGCCTCAGCCTTCCAAGTAGCTGGGATTACAGGCAGGAGCCACCACCCCAGACATGAACCCACTTCTAATGCAAAACACATATTGACCTGACAACAGGGCCCTCAGTTGTGGTGGAAAGAGCAGTGACCTTGGAATTAAAAGCCCTGTTGTGACTCGTGGCTTTGCCACTTTTAACCAACCCTACTTTTATTTACCTATAATGTGCAGGTATCTGTCTCACTCTTTAGGGATGCCAAAGGTGAAATGAGGTGTGCTGTCTATGTGACAGTGCCTTGTGAGCACTTTTCTGACTTCTCCCTGAGGAGGTTTGGGTCAGGCCTAGCAGAAACTGCAGCCATAGAGCATGGAGGGAAGTAGGACTTGACTAGCATAAAGTGAGTCTATGAGAGTGTGCCCACTGGTTTCCAAAGAGAATGTCGAAGAGTCTACAATGGTGAGGCCTCATCAGCCTCGATTTGAGAAGCAAATGTAGGTCAGAAATGGGGAGCAGAACAAGAGGAAAAGAAGAAGGTCAGGAGTGTGCAGAGCTGAAGAGGTGGTGAGAAGTGGTTCAAAGCTGGAAACAGGCAAGGTAATCTGGAATTCTGTCTTGATGTCTATTGAGTTATCCTAAATCAAGACTCATGTTCCTCTTACCTTATATTTCTTAAATTGATTTGTTTGATGCCCTGGGTATTTTGAAGCTCCTAGCTGCATAATCTTGCCTAATAAAGGCACAGAATTAGGGCAAATAGCTGCAGTGACTTGTGTACCTGCTCAGTGAAAGCCAAAGAATCAATAGCTAGAATCTGTGTCCACAAATTGCTTACAAACCACATGTAGATATGACATTCAACATCAGGCAAGGCTGGGCACGGTGGCTCAGATCTGTAATTCCAGCACTTTGGGAGGCCAAGGCAGGAGGATCACTAGAGTTCAGGAGTTTGAGACCAGCCTGGGCAAGATGATGAGACTCAGTCTCTACAAAAATGAAAAAAAAAATAGCTGAGTGTGGTGGCATACACCTGTAGTCCCACCTCCTTGGGAGGCTGAGGTGAGAGGATCACTTGAGCCCAGGAGTTTGAGGTTGCAGTGAGATATGGTCATGCCACTATATTCCAGCCTGTCTGCATGTAAAAACAAAAAATACACACACATACACACACACCCCAGCCTAACCACTTACCACCTCTTAATCATCTGTATAATGGACATAAAAATGCCTGCTATACTTTACATCATAGTATTCTTGAGTGGAGTAAATGAAATAATGCATATAAGGTGCTTTGCACAATGTGTGCTTGCCTCACAATAAACACTCAATATTATTAGATATGATTTCTACCATTATTACTAACAGTAGTAAGAATAGCAGTAGTATTTAAAAGCAAGTTTGCATTAGTTTTAAAGCACTATGAAATCCCAAGTCTTTTTTAAGACGGAGTCTCACTTTGTTGCCCAGGCTGGAGTGCAGTGGTGCAGTCTCTGCTCACTACAATCTCCGCCTCCCGGGTTCAAGCGATTCTCCTGCTTCAGCCTCCTGAGTAGCTCTGATTATAGGTACCCGCCACCACACCCAGCTAATTTTTATTTTTTAGTAGAGACGGGGTTTTACCATGTTGGCCAGACTGGTCTCAAACTGCTGACCTCAAGTGATCCACCTGCCTCGGCCTCCCAAAGTGCTAGGATTACAGGGATGAGCCACTGCACCCGGCCTCAAGTTATGATTGTTAATATTTTTGTGACATTCAGGATAAATATTTTTTAGTATGCTACTGAAGGACATGTCTCAGCATCGGTGTATCCCTTCCTGAAGCTATATGTTACCTTGCATTTACAGAGTTGACTTGGTGTCCAGAGAACAAATCAGTTGAGAAAAGGCCATTTTGAAAACGATTTTTTCCAGGGAGCATACGCTAGTACCCTGTTGCGGCATCCATGTGTGAGGGGGTGGTTGGATTATAGATCTTCAATGTGAAGTCAAGTTTCTTATCAAATGAAGTGTTTTGTCCGATCTTAGAGTTTAAACCCACAAGGAGGTAACAAAGCAAAGGGCTAATATATCTTTTCGCTACTTAGAACTACAGGCCAGAAATTTGCTTTTGTATTCTGAGATCTTATGATACTTGTCTCAATGAAATAAAACTGCATGCATTATTCTGCATTTCCATATTACTATTCTCTGTATTGGTAATTATTATGATACTTGCTTCCTGTACTTAAAGCAGCATGCAGATTTATTTTATAATCACTTCAAGGAAAGAACCAGTTCCTTTGGAGATTTCCTGTGGTTCCAAAGTTGCATGCCTCCAAGTCTGTTAGGTTGTGGGATTTTGCATTTGAGAGAAATGAGGGAGGTGGAGAGAATGAAGAGAAAGTGGACTGGCAGAATTACAGAATGTGGTTTCATCTGATCTTTTAGGCTGAGGGCTACTCCATTTGTAGACTCCATGCATAAAACTCAGGCATCCTGGGTCCTGCCCTACTGCTGCTTTGTGGTCAGAACATCGTGAGATCATGCAGCCTCAAGGCTGGGAACATACGGGATCAGGTCCAACAGCAGGTTGGAGTTTGGGTTCATGATTTCAAAGTCAGGGTCGTGAGGGCACCCAAGATGATTACCGAGAAGTCAAAAGCACGTGCCAGTAATGGCAATGTGAAGGTCTGGGAAACAGCCAAAACGTAGCTGTCAGGAATGTGGGACAGAGTCCCTAGGGCAGCTTTTCCCAAAACATGTTCCAAGATATACTAGCTCTATGGGATGTTGACTTACAATAATATGTGGTGAAAAGGTTTTCCAGACAAACACTGAGTTCAGAGTTAAGCAGGTTTTTTTCTATTGCAGAGCTTGTCAGAGCCTCTGATATGCCCACTAGTATTGTAAGTGTACAAGATGAAGCTTTAAAATTGGGCAAATAACAGATATTTCATACAGAATCCTGGATGTGGCCAGGAGTGATGGGAGATGAAGGATCCTCTTGTCAGAGTAGCACTCCACAGAACACACTTGGGGAAAAGTTGTCCCAGGGCCTGTGGCATGTGCTCTGAATTCATTTTCGCCTGGCTCTTAATTCTGGGGTTCGGAAGGAACTGGCAAACACCCACAGAAGTTATCTAGGATCTTATTGAGTGCTTCCCCCTCGTCCTTCCATCCGAATCACTTGGCTGATATTTGTTGCTGCTATTAACAGAATTCAGGAAATCAGCCCTTCTTAGAGGAAGAAGGACAAGTGAGACCACAAACAACAAAACATAATGAATGGATCAGAGCCTGTGTATAATTGGCCCTGAATTAGGCAAATAGGCTTTCCCCACTCCCTTAAAATGAAAACAAAATGGTAGTTTAAAGAAAGTACCAAAGGGACTATATCTAATAATAACAATGAGATTGAAAATGAGGGCACATGGTGTGTTTAGGGACGGCTGAGGCCAGTGAATGTCAAGGCAGACTGCATCTTTGACAGCCTCGCCTCACTGGCTCCTGAAATCCTCACACACAAAACAGCATTCTTCTTGTGTTCTTAAAGTGAAAGGCACTGTTTCCCTGTCACACTAGCAATGTTGCGAAGTAAATGTCATCCTTTCCTCCTCCTTGGCCCTGCCTTCTACAGCTAGTGCCCCTGCCAGTTGTTTCCTCAGCACGTCTCCAGCGTTCCTCTTCTCTTCCCCCTCGGCACGGCCTTACTTCTGGTCTCATCATCCTATGCCTGGGCTGATGCCTTTGCTTCCCAGCTGCAGTCGGCTGGGGATGAATGTGGGGTTAAGGCAGGCATTCCAGATATTTATAGAATTGTTCATGGTTCTTTTCCCATTAGCCATGAGTTACTTGAGGGTGAAGATAGTGTCTTATTTGTCTCTCTGTCTCTAGTAATTAGCCAAGTACCTGGCACTTTTAATTAAGGAGTTATCACTCAGTACATTTAAATAGGGAGAAAAAGAAAAAAACAAAGAATGGAATAAAGTAAAAGCATGATAGGTTTTGTTACTCTTTTTGCAGTTGATCATTGGCTATTCTTAATTCTTATAGACCAGTTAGTACTTTAGCAGCATACAGATAAGATATATTAAAATCATACACTGAGTTTTTAAAAAGTAGATGGGCATGAGTGGTGGCTCATGCCTGTAATCCCATCACTTTGGGAGGGCGAGGCAGTAGGATCGCTTGAGCCCAAGAGTTCGAGACCAGCCTGGGCAAAATAGTGGGACCCCGTCTCTACAAAATATTTTTTAAAAATTAGCCGGGTGTGATGGTGCACCTGCCGTCCTAGCTGCTTGTGAGGCTGAAGTGAGAGGATCACTTGAGCCTGTAAGGTCAGAGCTGCAGTGAGCCATGACAGTGCCACTGCACTCCAGCCTGGGCGACAGAGCAAGACACTGTCTCAAAAAAAAAAAAAAAAAAAAAGAAAGAGACAAAAAGTTCATTAGCACTTAAACATGCTTTTCAGAAAATGACTAATTATCAAAAACTAGCAATTGTGATACTAGCAAATGAAGAAACGTCAAATGGAGAAGAAATGAAAAACGTTTTTAGAATCCAGGACACACATTTACAAGAATGTAAAATATTGTGAAAATAATTTGGAGGAGAATTATGATTAAATTATTTGAGACTTGAATTACCTGCAGTAAATTCAGCTGCGTATCGGTTGTTAGGCATTTTATCATTACTAATCCTGTTACCATCTTTGTTGAATAAGAGATTCATACTTGATATACAAGGTCCATACATTTGTAAATAATTCATTATTATATTAGTTTGCAAGAGTCATGATTTTGCCAGAATTTATCCAAAATGGTCTATTGGTAATCCCAGAGAGTAGCAGAGGCATTGGGCAGTGAAGCTAACAGGCGGTGCTAAAGCCAGCATGAGCAAGTGCTGGGTGGTAGGAAAATAGAACTCAGGCAGTAGTGAGGGCAAATAGGAGCAGACAGGGCAGACCTAGAAGGAGACAGCAAGTAAGAGGCTTAGGAGGCTGGAGGAGCAGAGACTAAGGAACGCTCCCCTGGCATCATGCAGCATTATTACATAAGTGTTAGTAATTTCAAATAGTTATAACTATTTTAGATATACCATGTGCTAGCTACTGTTGTAGTATGCTCACTAGAATTTAATACTTGAATCCTCACAGCAACCTAGGTGGATACTATTATGAATCCTATGAATTTTCATTTATAGATGACAAAATTGAAGTACAGGGAAAGTAAGTCATTCACCCAGCTGATCATCAGTAAATGGAAAAGCCATGATTTGACCTCAGGAAAATGAGGGTTATTTGACAGGGCTGACTTGAAGAATGTTTAGATTGCTGTAGAACTGTATTTAGTGCTTAACGATATATAATAACTGATACAATTGGTATCCAAACAGCCGAATGTCATGCTTTTAGGGATCAAGGAAAGTTGCCTAAGTGTGCATGTGCCTAGCATTTGAGTTTTGATACGGATGATCATACCAGAAAAATATACCATCAGTTTTCAGGCCTATCTGCACAGTAATATGCGTGGAGTTCTTCATGATGTATTCACTGATATTAAAGCTCAAAACTATTATGAATCTTAGGCTCTGGCGAAAAAATGTGATCGTTTAAAAATTCGGCATTTATCTTATCCTGTGGAATGGGCAACTTCTCAGGCCCATTTGTCACCACCAACAAAGCAGTAACACGAGGTGTTTTAATAAATCTGTTGCCCAGTCTCTTCCATATTGCTATGCTTAGCTGTAAAAGAAGGGACCAAGAAATGGGTGTTAAGCTGAATTGGAAACAATTTTCAGATAAAGCACAGCAGTCTGCGAACCTCCTCCAGCTCAAGATGGTGTCAACTAGAATTGCCTTTTGTAAGCAGGCAGAAAGAGACACATGTACTTGATTGTGGTTTCTCTTTACTCCCACTTTCCACTCTGGTCATCCCTGTAGACACAGAGTAATTTGTGTACTGTAAATAGCTAGATCTTTCTGTAATCTTTATTTGTTTCTTTGTTTGTTTTTTGAGATGGAGTCTCACACTGTCGCCCAGGCTGGAGTGCAGTGGCTCAATCTCGGCTCACTGCAACCTCCACCTCCTAGGTTCAAGCGATTCTCCTGCTTCAGCCTCCTGAGTAGCTGGGATTACAGGCGCCCGCCGCCATGCCCGACTAATTTTTGCATTTTTTTTTTTTTTTTTTTTTTTTTGTAGTAGAGACAATGTTTCACCATGTTGGCTAGGCTTCTCTCGAACTCCTGACCTCAGGTGATCCGCCTGCCTTGGCCTCTCAAAGTGCTGGGATTACAGGCGTGAACCACCACTCTCGGCTTTAACCAACATTCTTAGTTGAACACAGCAGAAAGGGAAACCTCCATTAGTACATGGAACTCGGGCAGTAGTGAGGGCAAATATGAGGGAGAGCTGCCTTCCTGTTGCAGTGGTAAGTTCAGTCTCTACCTAAGAAAACAGCATGCCAAGGTACAGCAGAGCACACTGGCCAGCTCCAATGCAAGAGTCATCATGGAGTGTACCTTTTTTTTTTTTGACAGAGTTTCGCTCTTGTTGCCTAGGCTGGAGTGCAATGGCGCGATCTTGGCTCACCGCAACCTCCACCTCCTGGGTTCAAGCGATTCTCCTACCTCAGCCTCTTGAGTAGCTGGGATTACAGGCATGCGCCACCACGCCTGGCTAATTTTTTTTTTTTTTTTTTTTTGTATTTTTAGTAGAGACAGGGTTTCTCCATGTTGGTCAGGCTGGTCTCAAACTCCCTACCTCAGGTGATCCACCCGCCTCGGCCTCCCAAAGTGCTGGGATTACAAGCATGAGCCACTGCACCTGGCCGGAGTATGCACTTTTAACATGTCTATGCAGGGACACATGTCCTCTAACAACAAATGGCCATCCCGAGAGTGGTGGAGCAGAGTGTTGGACCTCTGGAGCCCAAATTTTTATTGTAGCAATACACAGTCTTCTTATAACAGGCACTGTGGCCATGGGTCTTATCAGCTCCTATTCAAAATTGGAATTAGGACAAGTATAGCAGGTTGTGTTCTAACAGAATTCTAACTTTTAAGGTGCCACAGACAATAATATTCTTTAGAAATCTTAGTGTTATCCTTTTTATCCTTTCAGGGTAGCAAACAAAAGGCACTCAGTAAATAATTATGGAGTATAATTTGGGGAAAACAAAATATTTCTAGTCTGAAAATTATTGTTTTAAAAATTATTTTTGTCTTGAGAGGCTGTACATTTCTGTCAACTGCGTGGCCACATTGTTGATATGCTTAAGAAAGATAACAGTCAAAGTTGCCTTTTTACACTTTGTATTTGTGCTCATCCAACCATGAGACCTTTAAAAATATTGAATATCTGTAGTTATCTCCCTTCAAGTCTTATTTTGAGTTTATATTACCTTTGAACTCAAAAGATCTCAAGCCATTTGCTTTACCTGACAGTATGACATTCTTTAATTTTAGGTAGCATTGTATGATGAGTCTCAAATATTGGCAGCCTATAATGCATATAAGTTAGTGATCCTAGTAAATGTAAATAAAATAATAAACAGAAACATGCTGGGCATGGTGGCTTATGCCTGTAATTCCGTAACTTTGGGAGGCTGAGGCAGGAGGATTGCTTCACACCAGGAGTTAGAGACCAGCTTGGGCAACAGAAACCCCAATTTTTAAAAAATCAGCTGAACGTGGTGGTGCATGCCTGTAGTCACAGCTACTCAGGAGGCTGAGGTGGGAGGATCACTTGAGCTCAGATTGAGGCTGCAGTGAGTTGTGAGTGCACCTCAGTCTAGGTGGCAGAGTGAGGTCCTGTCTCAAAAACATAATGATAAATGAAAATAATAACAGAAACATTCAGTCAATAACTGGGATTTTTTTTTACTGTTACTATTTTTTATCAAGACAAACATCTGGAGAGTTCTACAATTCCAGATGCTTACCAATCTGCTTCTGGGTTGTGAAAAAATTATTTGGGTATGTATAGCTTTTAACTTTTTTTTTGTTTGTTTTAACTGAATATTGAGGATTTTGGTAGAATAACTTTGAATGTTTTGGATTTTAGATTTAAATGGAAATATCAAATTTTATATAGGTTGGGCTCTAGATATTTCCATATTGTCAGAATTTAGAAAACATCTTTTATGAAATAGAAACTAAGAATTTTGGCAAACAGAGAAAGTTGCCCAAGGTCTCCAGAATTCATTTGTTTGACAAATACATATTGAGCATCTACCCTGTGACAGGTGGTATTCCTGGGATTTGTCAGGAGCACAATTGCTGCCTTCCTGGAGCTTACATTCTAACCAGGGAAAACTGACAATAAACAATAAAAAAAGTAAGTAAATAATGTAGTTTGTTAGAAAGCCATAGGTGCTACAGAAAAAAATAAACTATAAAGTAGGGGTCGGACTAGCAATAAAACTAAATAGTGTGGTCAGGGTAGTCCATGTGGACAAGATGCAATTTGAGCCAAGATTTAAAAAAGATAAAGCAATTAGCCTCAAAATAATCGGGGGGAAGAACTTTCCAGCACCAAGTAGTTTGCTCGGCCTGTTGGAGGAATAGCAAGGAGCCAGTGTGCCTGGAATGGAATGCCCAAGGGGCAATAGTGGCCATAAGGTAAAAGTGGTAATGGGGCTAAGGCCAGATCCTATAGAGCTTACAAACTACTGCAAAGAACTTGAGATTTTACTCTCAGTAGAATGTGGATCCATTGGAGAATTTTAAGCACAGGATCTGACTTGGGTTTTAAAAGGGTCTCTCTGGTCCTGGTTTGACAATATGGACTGCACTGGGAACAAGGGAAGGAGCAGGGGTCTTACTGCTGTAATTCAGTTAAAAATTATGGTAGTTTAGGCTGGAATAGTAGCACCAGAGATAGTGCTAGATGGTAAAATCTGGAAATATTTTGAAAGTAGAGCCACCAGGATTTCCTGGTGAATAGGATGTAGAGTATGAGAGAAAAAGAGGATTTGGGGTGTTTCCAAGGTTTTAGCCTGTGCATAAATGGAGTTATTACTATTGATTCAGAGAAAACCTTAAGGCAGCTACTTTTAGATAAGAGTTGGGTGATGAGGGGTTCAGATATGAATCTGTTGATAGTGAGATGGCTCTTAGACATACTGGGGAAGATGCTGGTAGGCAACTGCATGTGTAAATCTGGAGACGGGTGAGGTCTGCAGTAGAGATTTAAGTGTAGGATAATCTCAACATGTGGAAGGCATGGAAGTGTGGGTGCAAGTGGGAGACGAGAACCAAGCACTAATCCAAGTGCACTTCAATATTTAATTTTAAGAGACAAGGTCTTTTTTTTTTTTTTTTTTTCGAGATGGAGTCTCGCTCTGTCACCCAGGCTGAAGTGCAGTGGCGCCATCTCGGCTCACTGCAAGCTCCGCCTCCCGGTTTCACGCCATTCTCCTGCCTCAGCCTCCCGAGTAGCTGGGACCACAGGCGCCCACCACCACGCCCGGCTAATTTTTGTATTTTTGGTAGAGACGGGGTTTCACCGTGTTAGCCAGGATGGTCTCGATCTCCTGACCTCATGATTCACCTGCCTCAGCCTCCCAAAGTGCTAGGATTACAGGCGTGAGCCACTGCGCCCAGCCGAGACAAGGTCTTTCACTCTGTTACAGCTGGAGCACAGTGGTGCAATCACAGGTCACTGCAATCTCAAACTCCTGGGCTCAAGTAATCTTCCCAAGTAGCTAAGACTATAGGTGTGCACCACCATGCCCAGCTAATTTTTTTTTTTACTTTTTGTAGAGATAGTGTCTTGCTGTGTTGCCGAAGCTAGTCTCAAACTCTTATCTTAAGCAGTCCTCTCTCCGTGGCGTCCCTAAGTGCTGGGATTACAGGCATGAGCCATCATGCCTGGCCAGGCACTTTAATTTTAAAGAGCCTTTAATATGGTTTCTTGCCATGTCAGAGATAAGAACAGCTTAATATTTCTTGACTTTTCCTTGGTTAAACAAGGGGTATGCTTTAAAATTTTTTTTAATTTTAATTGTGGTAAAAGGTACTTAAAATTTGCCATCATAGCCATTTTTAAATGTACATTTCACTGTCATTAAATACATTCACCACTATCATCCACAGAACTCTTCATCTTGCAAAACTGAATTCTGCACCCACTAAACAATAACTCCCTTTTCTTCTTCCTCCCAGGTCCTCAAAACCTTCATTCCATTTTCTGTTTCTATGATTTTAAAGTGGAATTATACAGTATTTCTCTTTTTGTAACTGGCTTATTTCACTTAGCATTATGTATGTCCTCAAGATTCATCCATGCTGTAGCATATGATAGAATTTCCTGCTGGGCGCAGTGGCTCACACCTGTAATCCCAGCACTTTGGGAGGCCAAGGTGGGTGGATCACCTGAAGTCAGGAGTTCGAGACCAGCCTGGCCGACGTGGTGAAACCCTGTCTCTACTAAAAAATACAAAAATTAGCTGCACATGGTGGTGGGCGACACAGCCTCCCAAAGTGTTGGGATTACAGGTGTGAGCTGCTGCGCCAGGCCTGCTTCTACTCTTTGACTATTGTGAATTAATGCTGCTGTGAACATGGATGTACAAATGTAAGGGATATGTTTTTGTTTTTTGTTTTTAAGATGGAGTCTCACTCTGTCACCTAGGCTGGTGTGCAGTGGCACAGTCTTGGCTCACTGCAACCTCCGCCTCCCGGATTCAAGCAATTCTCCCACCTCAGTCTCCTGAGTAGCTGAGATTACAGGTACCCACCATCATGACCAGCTACTTTTTGTATTTTTAGTAGAAACTGGGTTTCACCATGTTTCCCAGGCTGGTCTTGAACTCCTGACCTCAGGTGATCTGCCCGCCTCACCCTCCCAAAGTGTTGGGATTACAGGCCTGCGCCACGATGCCCAGCAGGGATATGCTTTTTTAAAAGTCTCTGTGATATGTATACTTGGTGACTTTCATAGATTTTTAAAAATATAAGTGATATATAAATACATTTTTATTATAAAAGATTTAAATGATATAGCTGTTAACAGACCAAAATATGAAAATTCTCATTCATTCTCTCACCTCACCTCCATCTGCAATTCCCAAAGTTACATTTGGTGTGCTATCTTCCCTCTCTTTCAGTACATTTCTATACATTTGTCTATAACTTATTCTTTTTAAAAACTGAGATATTATACATATTCTACAGTTTAATAATGTCTTGGAGACCTCTCAATTATTTATATTTTGGAAATATTCCCAGTCTGCTGCATATGTTCTATAGTGTTATATTTACCTTTACATGTACAGGGCTATTACTGTAGATTAGAGTCCTAGAAGTGCATGCAGTTCCTAGGTCCAAGGAACTTTCTTTAACTCTTCATCAGATTTTCTTTTTGAAGAACCTTTGTGGCTTGATAATTATGTTTCTAGAAAATTTATTATTCAGGTTTAGAAGTTTGGGGAGCTGTTTGAAATAACACTCAAATAAATTTCCTGGCTATGGATTTGTTCCCCATAGCAAGAGAGTTGTAAACTATGAGTTTTATAACCTTAATGTCTTTTTTTTAAAAAAGGCAATTGATCTCTTAATCTAGGTGTTTTAGCTAGCATATGGGAGATGTAATCTGCAATCTATGGGACAAATGGGGGAGTTTTGGGAGTTATGATAGAAGACTGTTGAAAAATGTTTTATAATAATGTTTTACAGTAGAGAAACCTGGTAGATGCCACCTCATCAGCCGACCAGGGTTAACATCACATGATAATCATATTGCTATCATGCAGTGATATTAATATAATAAAGTGAGATGGGTGCATTGCCTCTGTGATATTCTTACCCCAAACCCATAACCACAGTCTCATAATGAGAAAATAACAGAAACCCAATTTGAGGGACATTCCACAAAATACCTGACCATGTTCTTCAAAAGTGCTATGGTGCCAAAAGTCATGCAAGACAAATCTAAGTAATTCTCACAGGTTGTAGTACACTAAGGAGACAGTGAAAACTAAATGCAAATAAAGTGGTTTTTGGTTTTTTAAAGTATGTTTATCCTTATGGACAATATGCTCCCATAAAGATCGTCTACCCTAGAAAACTGTGTCTTCCCTCTTAAATCCAAGAGATGCTTGTCCCAAAGGGTGGACCCCATTGAGATCTCCTGGGCTAGAGACCCAGTGCATGGATGGATGAGACAGTATAAGCAAGACCGTATAAAGCTGTGATCTGAGCTCATGGACACTGTGGTAAGAGGTCAGGCTCGAAGAATCAGAGAACTGAGTGGATTTTGCAATGGATAGCCAAAGAGAGGGTCCAAACTTAAAATGCGAAACAATAATTCAAGAATGATTTGGTAAAATGTAATATAACAGCCTATAACAGAGTCTAGCAAATAGTAGCCAAAAGTCACCCTAACCAATCGTAGGGCATATCTACCACACAAAAGTGTGACTTAGCGCATGACTGTTTAAATGCCAAAAAAGACAGATAAAGGAAAGTTAAGCCATAGTGGCAACCTCTGCAGTTGGAACGAGGGAGCTATATCAGTCAACAGTGAGGCTAATTGAGAATATTTGAGGTTGGCGTATGTCTAGGGATTCCTATAGGAGATACAACCCAGCAAGCATAGGTCAGCAACCCAAGGTCAGAGTACAAAATGGGTTAATACTAAAAAGTGGTTAAAAAGATGACCAGTCCTCAAGAGGAGATAGTATTTAAATCGGATACCTCTCCTTCCCCATGCTAACTAACATACTGTAATTTGTTATGGCTGTTTCTAAGGTAACTGTTTATAATTATAAATCAGCCCTACTGGTTCTTCTTGATATTGTAATTTGCAATCAAAGAACCTCTAGAGTTAATGTAAAACTTCTTGAATGAGAGACCATCTGGTTACAATTTTGGTTTCAATTCCCTGTTAGGCAACTGACACCCAAATAAGGACTGTTTCCAAATATGAGTAGGCTAAGTCAGTCATAAACAAACAAAAAGTTTCAGTTTTTGTTGCTATTATCCAAGATGTTAGCAGATGAAGTGTTTAATGAAAGGGTGCTTCTTTTAGGCAAACTTCTTTTACCATGATTTGTTTAACCTATACCAGTGGTCCGTACATTTTTTTCCTGTAAAGGGCCAAATAATTATTAATAGTATTTTTAGCCTTGCAGCCACGTATGATCTCTATGTATTTGTCATTGCCTTTTTGTTTTTTTAAACAAATGTTTAAAAATGTAAATGTTCTCTGTGTCCTTCACCATGTTTTCATGCTTTGTGATAGTGGCTGAAATTTAGAGACTTGTTTTAATAAACAATGTTCTGAAATGTTGATCTAATTGCCTCTGGCAAAAGATGTGTAATCATGACTTTGATGAACTTATTTTAAAAATAGATGCACAGTTGATCTCTTATTGCACGCATTTTGGCACATTCGTGGGAGATATTCTCTGTAAACATGACACTTGCGAAACCTACCATACCCTGAAAGTTTGCTGTCTAGAAATTAAGTGCCTAGTTTTCATTCAAATTAATATTTAGGTAAGACATGTTTTATTTCTAAATAGACTGTCAAACATTTTTCATATTTTAATGTGTAATGGTGATGACCTTTTTAAAAAGACTCAACGTAATTTGTTTTCTCATTTAACCCATTAACTGCCCCCTTTGTGTAGTATTGTTGCTGCTTTCTCTTATAAATTGATGATGTCTCAGGGTCTCAATTTACAATTACATTAGTTTCTTCCTCTAGTTTGTAGTTGAGCTGTGGCTCTGCACTGTTGGGGCCTGTACAGCCATCCTTCACTAGACCCCGGGAGGTGGCCTTTAGTAGGCTCAAAGGTGGCCTTTAAGCCATTCTTAGTATCACTGTGAAAAAGCATCCAGATTTTCCCCCTGAAAGGCCAAGTGGTTGCATGATGTGTTGTGGATTTTAGGGATATACTTTGCCTATTTCACATACTTTTTTCCAAGAAGATAGATAAGCTTACACATGTAAAGGTTTCAACTGTATTTCTTCTGTTTATAATTTTATTTATTTTGAGATGGTGTCTCGCTCTGTCACTCATTTTGGAGTGCAGCGCAATGGTGTGATCACGGCTCACTGTGGCCTCAAACTCCCAGGTTTAAGCCATCCTCGCACCTCGGCCTTCTAAGTAGCTGGGACTACAGATGTATGCCACCACACCCAGTTAATGTTTTTTGTATTTTTTTGAAGAGACAGGATTTTGCCATGGCTGCCTACCTGGTCTCAAACTCCTGGGCTTAAGTGATCTGCCTGCCTCAGCCTCGCAAAGTGTTGAGATTACGTGAGCCACTGCACCCAGCCTTTTTATAATTTTAATAATAATCTGTCAATCTTTCATTACTTTTGCCTTCTAAATTCTTGTTATATTTTACTAAACAATGCTTAATCTCGCTGATAAACCATTTTAGCAGAAGTATGTCTGATGAGGACCACCCCTGCCTTTTTTTTTCTTTTCTCAGAGTTGCAAGGTCTCCCTCTGTTGACCAGGCTGGAGTGCAGTGGTGTGATTATAGCTCACTGCTTCCTCAACCTCCTGGGCTCAAGAGATCCTCTCACCTCAACCTCCCCAGTAGCTGGGACCACAAGCGCGCACCACCATGCCCAGCTAATTTTTATTTTTTTTAAGTAAAGGCAGGGTCTTATGTTGCCCAGGCTGGTCTCAAATTCCTAGCGTCATTTAATTTCTGTTTTGGTATTGGCTCTGAAAGAACTGTTGAGACAATACTTGGAACTCTTGATATTTTCCAAAATCTGTTTTACCAAGATAAATTTTAAGGAGAGCAACAGAAAATAAAGCAGAAATGTGGTTTCTTTGTTGGGTTTTGTTTTTTTTTTTTTTTTTTTTTTTTTTGAGATGGAGTTTCACTCTTGTTGCCCAGGCTGGAGTGCAATGGTGCGATCTCAGCTCACTGCAACCTCCCCCCATCCTGGGTTCAGGTGATTCTCCTGTCTCACCCTCCTGAGTAGCTAGGATTACAGGCGCCCACCACCACATCTGGCTAATTTTTGTATTTTTAGTAGAGACGGGGTTTTACCATGTTGGCCAGGCTGGTCTTGAACTCCTGACCTCAGGTGATCCACCCGCCTTGGCCTCCCAGAGTGCTGGGATTACAGGCATGAGCCACCGCACCTGGCCCAAATGTGGTTTCTAATCAATATTATTTAATAATGAATTGGATTAAGAATTTTTTGGGTTTTTTTTACTCAATAGAAAGTTGATTGGGTTTTTTAAAAATAGCTTGTTTTCAATAATTAAGGCTTAAAAAAATCTCTGAGTTCTCTTTGAGATATTTGGATTCTATAAAAAATGAAACTCTTTGTTTCTTAACCAAATGATAATTCCTTAAATTGCATTCTTTGATTCAATTATACTGAATTTCCTGGTAGAAATTTTATTTTCTCTGAAGCAGAGTCAGTGGTCTTAATATCACCATGTCAACCAGAAGAGAAGGAAATCTAATATGCATAATAGAGAACACTGACACATGACTTCTTTAAAAGTCTCTGAAATTCAACATATAACTTTTTATACCAGAAAGTGAACAAACATTTAATCCTTCCTCTTCATCTATGTCTCATGATGTATTTGTGTGATTTTAAAGAACATTTTGGAGTTTTTGAGTTCTATATAAATGTGACCATGTTATCTGTATAATCTTGCCATCCTTTCTTTGGAAAACATGGGTCACCGTTAGCGTATGTCATGGATGTTGATGTGGAGTCTGAGTAAGCTAGTGGGCGAGAGGGTGTGTGTGTGGACGTGGGCGCATGTGTGTATTTGTTAGTTTCAAATCGAGCCATTCTTCTAGAGTCTTTAGGTCAGCTGTCACGTTGGGCTTTCCTCCTTTGTTCTTTTGAGTTGCTCTGTGACTAGCCACAGACCCAACACTAAAAAGGAAGGCTTTTAACGGATTAATTCCGTCCTTTCCTTCGCCTACATTGTAGCAGCTGCGTTCTGCCCTTTCTGTGGCCCTGCAAGGAGAGGAGGCCTGTGTATAACAGTCTTCTGTCAACATCCATTATAAGATTCCTAAAGCACATGGAATGAGATAGTTCCCAGGAAAACTCTTTGTCAAGGCCAGCCCATGTGGGAAAAGTGTTTCTATGCTTAGTCTTGTAACTATGACTGTTTTTGTTTTATGGGGTCAGGGGAAATTTAACTTATTTTATTTTTCTTTTTTATTGATCATTCTTGGGTGTTTCTCGCAGAGGGGGATTTGGCAGGGTCATAGGACAATAGTGGAGGGAAGGTCAGCAGATAAACAAGTGAACAAAGGTCTCTGGTTTTCCTAGGCAGAGGACCCTGCGGCCTTCCGCAGTGTTTGTGTCCCTGGGTACTTGAGATTAGGGAGTGGTGATGATTCTTAACGAGCATGCTGCCTTCAAGCTCTGTTTAACAAAGCACATCCTGCACCGCCCTTAATCCATTTAACCCTGAGTGGACACAGCACATGTTTCAGAGAGCACAGGGTTGGGGGTAAAAGGTCACCGATCAACAGGATCCCAAGGCAGAAGAATTTTTCTTAGTACAGAACAAAATGAAAAGTCTCCCATGTCTACTTCTTTCTACACAGACACGGCAACCATCCGACTTCTCAATCTTTTCCCCACCTTTCCCCCCTTTCTATTCCACAAAACCGCCATTGTCATCCCGGCCCGTTCTCAATGAGCTGTTGGGTACACCTCCCAGACGGGGTGGTGGCCGGGCAGAGGGGCTTCTCACATCCCAGTAGGGGCGGCCGGGCAGAGGTGCCCCTCACCTCCCGGACGGGGCGGCTGGCCGGGCGGGGGGCTGACACCCCCACCTCCCTCCCGGACGGGGCGGCTGGCCGGGCGGGGGGCTGACCCCCCCCACCTCCCTCCCGGACGGGACGGCTGGCCTGGCGGGGGCTGACCCCCACCTCCCTCCCGGATGGGGTGGCTGCCGGGCGGAGACGCTCCTCACTTCCCAGAGGGGGTGGCTGCCGGGCAGAGGGGCTCCTCACTTCTCAGACGGGGCGGTTGCCAGGCGGAGGGTCTCCTCACTTCTCAGACGGGGCGGCCGGGCAGAGACGCTCCTCACCTCCCAGACGGGGTCGCGGCCGGGCAGGGGCGCTCCTCACATCCCAGACGGGGTGGCGGGGCAGAGGTGCTCCCCACATCTCAGACGATGGGCGGCCGGGCAGAGACGCTCCTCAGTTCCTAGATGGGATGGCGGCCGGGAAGAGGCACTCCTCACTTCCTAGATGAGATGGCGGCCAGGCAGAGACACTCCTCACTTTCCAGACTGGGCAGCCAGGCAGAGGGGCTCCTCACGTCCCAGACGATGGGCAGCCGGGCAGAGACGCTCCTCACTTCCCAGACGGGGTGGCGGCCGGGCAGAGGCTGCAATCTCGGCACTTTGGGAGGCCAAGGCAGGCGGCTGGGAGGTGGAGGTTGTAGCGAGCCGCGATCACGCCACTGCACTCCAGCCTGGGCACCATTGAGCACTGAGTGAACCAGACTCCATCTGCAATCCCGGCACCTCGGGAGGCCGAGGCTGGCGGATCACTCGCGGTTAGGAGCTGGAGACCAGCCCAGCCAACCCAGCGAAACCCCGTCTCCACCAAAAAAGTACGAAAACCAATCAGGCATGGCGGCGCGGGCATGTAATCGCAGGCACTCGGCAGGCTGAGGCAGGAGAATCAGGCAGGGAGGTTGCAGTGAGCCGAGATGGCAGCAGTACAGTCCAGCTTCGGCTCGGCATCAGAGGGAGACCGTGGAAAGAGAGGGAGACCGTGGAAAGGGGAGAGGGAGAGGGAGGGGGAGGGGGAGGGAGAGGGAGTGGGAGAGGGGAAATTTAACTTATAAGGCAGTATTGTGATATGCCTCCATACTTACCTGCCCTTTCTTTCTGAACTCTTGCAGGCAGCAGTACCTGTCCAAAGATCGCTTTAGTTCCACCTTGCTCCACAAGCAGCACAACCACACTGGTTGGTGAGAATGTATCTGAAGAAGAGGCTCAGGGAATAAATGGGAACAGGCCAGCAAAACACTCAGCTGCAAGTCCAAAGCCACAAGGTATGCTCACTGGGAGTTTGTGTTCGGGGTGGGTACGTTGTTGATCAATGAAGGCTAACCAGAAAAATGATGGCCACAAAGAAAGTGTTTTAAGCTAGAAGGAAGGAATTGGGTACATTATTTTTTAGAGAAGAGTCCATCTGTGCATCTTCTCAGGCAGAGGTTGCTATTTGTTCTGCTCCTGAAACAACATACATTTCTCTATATGGATCTTTTCATGTTGCTGAAATTGTTTGCATGTCATCTTAACGGAACTGTGATCTCTTTATTATGCCTGATCTAGTACAGGGACTTACTGTCTGTGTAATAAATGTGTTTGGAGCTACTGTTAGAAAGAAATGATTTGCTAGATGTCAGTATCTGTAAAACATAATTCTAAAACAGCACTTCGTGTACTTATCAAGCATGTGACTTGAAAATATTAAGGAGGTAGGGCATGAAAACACCTGATAGTAAGGTCTTCCGCAGAAAGGAACAGTAACAGCCCTTCATTCAGGATTGAGTGGCCAGTGAGGGTAAAGAAAAAGCCATAATGGTAGGAAGCTTGAATGATTTTTTTCAGTGACCATTTCCTTTTACAAAGAAATTTCCAGTGAACTGGGTATTAACTTTGAGAAGCACAGAATTATAGTTTTGATGATAGAGAGCAAGGCCTTTTGAAATGGAACACAAAAGCTAAGCTACCCTACAGTTTAATGTGTAGTTTCTTCCTTACAGATTTTCATTTATAGTGAATGCTAAACAGATATGAGAAATAATACTGGGCATTGTCAGAATTACTACAGTTGGGAAAAATCAGTTTCTATTTTTATTTATTTTGTGTTTACTTAGTTCTCTTTCCTGTTCTTGCAAAGAAAAATGTATTCTAGAGCATGCATTATAAAATAAGTGGTGTTATTCCTTAAAGTTGTATGTTTTAAGGATTTCTGAAAGAAAATTTTAGAACGAGTTTAAAATGAATCTTCTAGATTATGGGATATTTGTCTTGTTCTCACTACAATTATATTTGTGGTGGTATGGAATATCACTATCAAGCAAGGTCAGATAATTGATGATTCAGATGAGTAGCCTATTCATGAGCTTACAACCATTTCTTTTGACTACACTGCTCCCTTATAGCATTGACGTGAATATAAACATAGGACTTTTTTTGACCATGATTTAAGCCTTTTTATTTCCAAAATATAAAATTCCATTTCGCCCATTAGACCCGAGTTGACAAAGATCCAGTGTGAGGTAAGAATATTAATAATGAATACAATTGTAGTTGTAATTTTCCTGATCAAAGGAAGAATTTCATTACTTAAAAAGCCTTTATTTTTGGAAGATGCAGTGCAATACTTCGTTGTTTTCCAACGTCAGTGTATTGAGAGATATAAGAGTGTCCTTTCTGAGTTGCATGTGCCAAAATAATCCCCTTTTTAAGTAGACAACACTTAACCTTGCTTTTGCTGTTGTGTAGTTATATTAAAGCCACGATATAGTTATTTAAATACATATTTACTTCCTATGTTAAATATGGGCTAATTATGTATATATACTTTTCTAACTAAAGGGAATATTTGCAGATATTAAATAAATCATGGAGTACTTTATACTTCTTTTTCAAAATACTTTCAGGCAGTGTTTGGCCTTTCCCTGATACCCATGGCTAAAATTTTAACCTCACCTTTCACCCTGCCCTTTTATATTTCCCTATGTTGTAGTCTGTTCAGGCTGCTGTAACAAAATACCATAAATTGGGTAGCTTATAAACAATAGAAATGTAGTTCTCACAGTTTTGTGATCTGAAAGTCCAAGATCAGATTCAGGGTCTGATGAGGGCTTGCTTTCTGGTCCACAGGTGGGTCCAAGATCAGATTCAGAGTGTAATGAGGGCCTGCTTTGTGGTCCATAGATGGCCATCTTTTCACTATAACCTCACAGGGTGGAAGGGGTGAGAGGTCTCTCTGGGGCCTCTTTTCAATGGCACTAATTTGACTAATGAGAGCTCAGTCCTCATGACCTACTCACCTCCCAAAGGCCCCACCTCTTCATATTGTCACCTTGGGAATGAGGATGGCAACATGAATTTTGGGACACAAACAAACACTCAGACCACAGCACTCCGTATGAACTTTATTTTTTCTCATTCATTACAACCTGACCTGCTGTATGTTTTACTCATCAGCTCAGTTTTTTCTGCCTATGTGTCCGCTCACATAGTACATAACCAGTCTTCAATAACACTGCTATATTGCTGCATTTCTTCCCCTTTGTTTCTGCTATTCTTTAAAACTTTGAACATGCGCCATGCAGGGACCAACGTCCCTGAAACGAGGCTACATCTTAGTATTGTCAGATGAGCTGCCACATAGATTGGTCAGTAAGTCAATCAACAGTACCCAGTAATGAGTGTTTCTTACTCTTTAGTGGAGAGAAGCTGATTTTAATTTCTCCTAACATTTGGGTGATGGAGGCAGAGAAGAGAAGGGGGTGTTAATAGGGACCTACTGCATGGACCAAGGAATTATCACCCCCGACACCTTTGTTCCTGCCTCACTGCAAATCCCTTACAAGTTGTGAATGGTGAGGTTGCTGGGACTTCAAGGTCACTATGTGTGTGGTCCTAACAAGGGAAGTGGAGTCAGGCTGGCAGGAGCAGGGGAAAGCAGAAAGAAAAAGCAGATAAACTGTTAAGTCTGCCTTTCTTCCTGGTCCAGGGCGTGTAGCCCTCCTGTGCAAATAACTCACAATCTTCCTGCACTTATCACCAGACACTGTGGCTGATAGAAAAATGAAAGTTAGCTCACTGCAACCTTGGCACTGGCATTATCAGTACTGCATGTAGCCCTCTCCAGCACAAGCACCATCCTATAAAATCCCCAGGAAGCCTTTGTCTCTTTGTAGTCAGCTCCTGTCTTGCTGATCTGCCTGTTGCTTTCTTGCAGTGTTATTTTCATACTTTGTGTAATAAATATGCCTTTCTCTACCTACAACTGTCTTGGTAAATTCCTTTACTGCCAACACCACCAGCCCCGGATAGTTGCTACCCACAACACTATGTTGTTTTAGTTTAATTTAGGACTCTTATTCTAGGTGAGTAGTTCTCAAGCGGAGACAGTTTTGCCCACACTTGCATATCCTCCCCCGACAATAGGACATTGGTAGTATCTGGGGACATTTCTGCTTGACACTGCTTGTGGGAGTTGCTACTTGCAGCCAGTGAGTGCAGGGTAGGGCTGTTGCTCTACATCCTGCAATGCACGGGACAGTCCACAACAAAGAATTCGTACAAACTATAATATCAGTTGCTGCATTTGCAAAACTCTCACCTAGATAAAAATAAGCACGTAATTATATCTTTTTTTCCTTATGTAGATTGCTAAGAAGATTATAGTCACAATTTATTGTGGGCTTTTTTTTTTTTTTTTTGAGAGAGAGGGTTTTATTCTGTCACCCAGGCTGGAGTGCAGTGGTGTGATCTTGGCTCACTGCGGCCTCCCCTTCCCAGGTTTGAGTGATTCTCCCACTTCAGCCTCCTCAGTAGCTGGACTACAGGAATGTACCACAACGCCCAGATAATTTTTGTATTTTTTGTTAGAACCTGGGTTTTACCATGTTGGCAAGGCTGGTCTCAAACTCCTGACCTCAGGTGATCTGCCTGCCTTGGCCTTCCAAAGTGCTGGGATTACAGGCATGAGCCACTGTGCCCAGCCTATTGTGGTAATTTTAAAAGGGGAAAGTATTGCACATCTTTATTAGTGGTGATTATGTAGTAATGTCTCTGGAACAATATATGGTTTACGTTTTTGTGTTTATTAATTACCAGTAAGTAAATATTTTTGAAGAATTATTTATAGGTTTTTAAAAGGTGAATGAGCTAAGTTTTATTTTATTTTAAACCTGAAAAAGGAATGACCAGAATGGCAGCCCTTTGCTATTTCAAAATCAGCAGAAAGAAAGAAAGATAAATTTTAGATTAGAGATTGGATAAACTTGCATTTGGATCCAAATTGGAATATGTAGATTTTGAAATGGATTTGTTTCATAATTAGAGCTTGTTTTGCCTCAGCCTCAGAAAATACCCTAAGGCCTTGGAAACAATGGCTTATTCACTTCATACCAATCCTAATAGTCAAACAAATTACTGAGCAACCTCCAGCATAAGTCTTTCTTCTTGTTCACCGCTTTTAATACTGGCCTGTTTCCTGCCATGCTAGACAGTGACTCAAAATAGCTCCTTTAGTAATTAAAGTTAATAGTTCTTTTTCTCTTAACAGCTTCTATCCAGAACATTCTCCATAGTTCCTGATTATTTTTATAAAGTGCAAATTGTCACATAATATCTCAATCATTAAATGCTTTAAAGAGCCACATTGTTGTTTGAGTAACTTACATAAATATAGAGTACTTAAACCTATTCATTTGCTTCTAAAGTAAAAATCTATGTATAATGATCCATTCTTTTAAAAGTGTAATGTTATAATGCATTTATACATAGCCAGCTTTTGTTGTTTCTGTTTTCAAAAAGAAGAGTAATTGAAGACTACTGACTTAAACTGGCAATTGGTTTCTTTTCATTCTAGATAATTACTTTGAATGATCAATTTTTTTTCCTATTTACATCTATAAATTTGGGTGTAATAAAACCCATCTTATTTACAGTCTGATAGAGATCTCAAATTTAGTGTATATGAAACTGAACTGCTAACTGCTATTCTCCTCTCCAAAAATTGCTCTGCCTGCTATGTCACTTGACCATCGTTCCATCCTTCTGGTAGTTGAGACCCAAGGCTTCAGAGTCATCCTTGCCTCCCCTCTCTTTCTCTCATATGTCTAATTTAATCTTATCAGGAAATCTACTTTAAAAATTTACCTAGAATCCAAGTATCTCTCACTACCTTTTCCTAAGCACTGTGATCTCTTGCCTGAATTTCTATAATATCCTCTTAATTGTCCACCCTGCTTCTCCCCTGTTTTCCTCTACATTCTCAACACAGCTCCCAGAGTGATCCTGCTGAAAGTTAAGTTATATCATGTTACATTTCAGCCCAGAACCCTGCAGGGACTTCTCATTTCATGCAAAGTCAAAATAAGTGGTCCAGAGTCTACTTTCTCAGGCCTCCCTATGCACTACTTTTGTCCACATGCCCATTCTGCTCCAATCCTGCTGGCCTCCAGACCCCAGCTGTCCCTGGCTGTCATTCCATCTGCTGGAAAGCCCTTCCCCAAACAGTTCCTTCCACTTCAAGGCTTACTCAAATCCCAGCTTTTCACGGAGGCCTGACTTTGAACACCCTGTTTAAGACTGAAATCTGCCCTCCCTTTGACTTCCCACACCCTGGATGGTATTTATCTTGTTCTTTTAGCCCTCACCACGTTTTCTCCTAGCACTTACCTCCTTCCGATAAATGATTTACTTGCTATTTTTTTGTTCATTTTTCCTTTGCTCATTGATAGGCTCAAGTGGCTAGAACCTAGTAGATATTCAATAAGTATTCATTTAATTAATGAAAAAGTGAAAATAAACACCCTATATAGAGGTATAAGAATTGTTCTAGGATATATATTTTCTAAATGCTGAATTCTTAGTGGTTTTATAAATTTATACTGTCATCAAAAATGTTGTGTTCACATTGCTTCATATCTTCACTGACACTTGGTATTGTCAGATTTAAAATTCTGGTCAAGCTGGGCGTGGTGGCTCACGCCTGTAATCCCAGCACTTTGGGAGGCCGAGGTGGGCGGATCACGAGGTCAGGAGTTCGAGACCAGCCTGGCCAACATGGTGAAACCCCATCTACTAAAGATACAAAAAATTAGCCAGTCGTGGGTGGTGCGTACCTGTAATCCCAACTATTTGGGAGTTTGAGGCAGCAGAATTTCTTGAACCCAGGAGGTGGAGGTTGCAGTGAGCTGAGATCGCGCCATTGCACTCCAGCCTGGGCGATGGGGCAAGACGCTGTCTCAAAAAAAAAAAAAAAAAAAAAAGAAATGCTAAAATTCTAGTCAATCTGATTTGACTGAAATGGTGTCAGCTTATGGATTTAATTTGTATTTCCCTGAAATACTAATAAGTGAGGGTGAACACCATTTTTCCTGTCTATATCCTTTGGACTGTTAGGTCTTTTAGTTAATAGTGCATAGGAGTTTATTTATTTATTTATTTACTTATGTATTTAATTTTTTTTTGAGGCAGGCTGTCTATTGCCCAGGCTGGAGTGTAGTGGCATGATCTCAGCTCACAGCAACCTCCACCTCCCAGGTTCAAGCGATTCTCCTGCCTCAGCCTCCCAAGTAGCTGGGATTACAGGCATGTGCCACCACGCCCGGCTAATTTTTGTATTTTTAGTAGCGTGGGGTTTCGCCATGTTGTTCAGGCTGGTCTCGAACTCCTGACCTCAGGTGAGCCACCTGCCTCGGCCTCCCAAAGTGCTAGGATTACAGGCATGAGACATCGTGCCTCAGTTTTTTATTCTGATTGTTATTCCTTTCTTCCTTATAATACAAAATAATACAAAATAATTCCAGATAATACAAAAGTCTTATCTGGGTCTGTAAGATCCAGTTCTTCACAGGGCCTTGTAGAAGAGCCAAGGATGGCAGAACAAAGAAGGGGGCAGATGAAGGGCATTCTTATATTTTGAAACTTTGTATCCTGCCACAAAATTTCACATAGATGTTATATGGTTATCTTAAAAATAGACGTCTCATATATGTTAATCTTGTGCAAGTACAAAGTGCTTTCACAGGTCGGGTTCTTTCGTGTGTTTTTAAATCATTTTCTAGTCATTTACTTCTCAAAGTAGCTGTGTGTTACTTTTTCAGTCTTTGATAGGAGCAGTAAGATTAAATATGAATTTGTTTTATGAAATAGTGATTTTCCTTAAGAGTTGAATGTGGCTGGGCACGGTGGCTCACGCCTGTAATCCTTGCACTTTGGGAGGCTGAGGCAGGCGGATCACCTGAGGTCGGGAGTTTGAGGCCAACCTGGCCAACATGGCAAAACCCTGTCTCTACTAAAAGTACAAAACTTAACTGGGTGTGGTGGCAGGTTCCTGTAATCCCAGCTACTCTTGAGGCTGAGGCACAAGAATCACTTGAACCTGGAAGGCGGAGGTTGCAGTGAGCTGAGATTGCACCACTACCCTCCAGCCTGGGTGACAGAGTGAGATTCTGTCTCAAAAAAAAAAAAGAAAAAAAGAGTTGAATGTTAACCTATAATCATGGGTTACAAGAAGTATTGAGCTGAAACAAAGATGAGATTCATTTCCTGTTAATCAAGGAACTCAAAAGTCTAGGGAGGCAACCCTGGTTGTAAAATATTATAAAACAAAATGACAAATGTTAGTTGAGAAGATATTTGAAGATTTTTGAGGCAGGGTAGGAGGGCAAGAGGTGGAAGAGTCAGATAAGCCTTCTTAAAAAGTTGATGACTGAGGTGAGCCTTGTGGGAATTAGGGGATTTTGCCAAGTGGACCATTCTAGGTATGCGCCAAAGCCTGAAGGCCTGAAAAAACCTTACCAAGCTTACAATGGAAGATGCAATTCAGTGTGGCTGGAATCTAGGCTGCATAGGGGGTGGGAGAGTAGAGATGAGCCAAGCAGTAAGAAAGTTCCCAAGAAATCTATTTCAAAAGAAAATGAAGCCAGGAGGGGTGGCTGTCACCTGTAATCCCAGCTACTCTGGAGACTGAGATGTAGGATCACTTATGCCCAGGAGTTTGAGGTTACAATGAGATATGATTGCACCAGTGCACTCCAGCCTGTGTGACAGAGCAAGACCATCTGTGTGCGTGCGTGTGTGTATGTATGTTTACACACACACATACATACACACACACGCATAAAAGATAAAATAGAAAAGAAAATGAACCTACTGTGGTGGCTTTCCAATAGACATGTTGTTTTCATTTAGCTCTAGATATATAATAAGGTTCTTACAACATGATTCTGCAGTTGTTCATATCCTAGCAGAATTGTACTTAGCTGATCTTATTCAGCTAAGTAAATGTTATAGTAGGTATATTGGATTCAGGGCACCTTTTACCTGAAAAGCTTACTTGCTCTAGGGAGCTTAACAATCAAGTAGGGAAAGACTGTGTTTGCATACTACACTGTTCTCAGAGTGTGAAACACAAATCTGGAAATGATTTTGCTAGTTTTAAATGTCACACTATTGATCTCTAGAATTAATATTTATCTGATGAAAGGGAAAAAAATCTAAATAAATAAATAATTGAAATACCAAGAAGAGGAGGAATCGGAACTTTAGGGTTTTCCATTCTCATCGTCTGTAATGCCAATAGAGACTGATAATAAACTGCATCCTTAGAATATTGCCTACAATTTATAATCTTTTCCCTTCTTACATAACTAATTTGGGAAATCTTTTTAAAAGTGAATAATTGTCTATTTGATAAAATTGTAATTTCTTTAGCCCTTGATTTTTATTTTCTTTTTAGTTTTATAATATAGTCTTCATAATCTGGATTATGTTGCTATGCAAAGGATTTACTGGTCCTTTCTAATTTGTGATCTTGTATATGTGTTTATGTCAGTTTAATTACCTTTTAGGTCTCCAGCTGGACCTATCAATTAAACTGACATAACAACAGATTAGCAGAACAAAAACATACAAGAGATATAAAGGCCGTTGGCTGCAATTTGTTTGGTTGCCCAGAAGCTAAGAAAGGTGGCCATGAAGAGAAATTTAGTCTCAATAATTTGAAGTATCAATTCCTGGGTTGCTTCTACCATCTGTTGTCATTTCCTCTGGGTACAGACTATTAGACTGAAACATGAGATCCTGGTTTTTAACTGGAATTGGATTTTTTTTTTGAGACGGGAGTTTCACTCTGTCGCACAGGCTGGAGTGCAGTGGCGCGATCTCGGCTCACTGGAAGCTCCGCCTCCCGGGTTCACGCCATTCTCCTGCTTCAGCCTCCCGAGTAGCTGGGACTACAAGCGCCCGCCACCAAACCCGGCTAATTTTTTGTATTTTTAGTAGAGACGAGGTTTCACCGTGTTAGCCAGGTTGGTCTCGATCTCCTGACCTCATGATCCGCCCGCCTTGGCCTCCCAAAGTGCTGGGATTACAGGCGTGAGCCGCCGCCCCTGGCCTGGTATTGGATTTTTTTTGCGTCGTAAGTACATAGCATACAAGATTTCTTTTTCTTTTAGTCCTGCGTTAGATATTCCTCAGTTAACTCCATAACTTTGGGAGTTGAAAGAATCATTTTCATTCATCAGTTAGGTATTTTGAGGCAAAGTATCTGTTACTTTTATTACATTATAAATGATGAACAAGTGATAGAATTTTTTCTAAGACAGTGTGTCTAACTTTAGTCATTCATGTATCATCTTCAGATTTGTCATATCCATGTATCATTTGTTCTTTTTTATTTAAAATGTGTATATTTACTGATTTACTGTACATTTACATTTTCTCCCTTGCTGAATTTGATACCTCCTCTGTGCTTCTAAAATACCTGTGTACCCAGTGTTCACTTTTATCAACATCATTAAAGTGCCTCTCCACTAGTATATGATCTCCTTGATGACACACTAAGTATAATGTTCCAAACATTTGCCAAACATAATGCAAATAGACACTATAAATATAGCTGTGATCAAAAGTAATATATTCCTTACCTTCATCAATTCCTGCCTTGTGGAGGAAAAAAAACCTTTAAATTCATAATATATTTACTATTTTACTGCAGCTTTATTATTTAATCGTACTCATTACTAATTATTTAATAATTATGCCACAAATTGTGATAAGCAATTTGGAGAAAGCACACAGTGCTTATGAAACAGTTTAAGAGGTGGACACAATTTAGATTGGGAAAGTGGGTAGAGTCATCCCTGAGAAAGTGATGGGTATCATTGTATTTTAGTTTTTCTCTCATCTGGCACATAATAAATAAGGCATGTTTAAGTGAGTAAACTCTAGGTAGATGAATGAGTTATTTCATAACAATTTTAGCACACAAAATTATATTCACTTCCTTTAGTATTCTAGCTAAGAATGTTGAATTATTCATAACCTTAAGTGTTTTTTTTTTTTTTTTGGGTGGGAGATTTTCCTGTTTTACTGCATTAGTTCATATTTACTACTCATAATGTTAAAAGGGTTTTTTGGTGGGAGATTTTCCTGTTTTGCTACATTAGTACATACTTATTCTACACAGAAGTTTTTTTCTGTAAAATTAACAAATATTACACTTATATAAGCCCCATTGTTCCCAGATAATACTATGTTAATCACTCCCCCAAACATATGTTGGAAAATATCATTTTCACAAAAGAAGCATGCCATTTTTAAATTGAGATTTTCTTATTGTTTGTATTGAAAGAGAATTAAGTGAATTAATTGCTCCACTTGTAGTTCATTGTGACATTTCTTTCCTTCCCTATAATAAATTGATAACTGGCACTGAAATGATGAGATCTAGGCCAGTGAGCATGAGCCAACTGTCAGCTAACTGAGTTTATAAAAGAGATGAGATCACTAAAAACCAGGGGAACCAGCTGGGGGAAAATGAGGCATGTAATTAGGAGGCGACATGACTCCTCACCCTTCTTCCAGAAGGTAAGAAAAGGATTTAAGGAAGAAAAAAGATGATTCTATTTGATCTGTCAACACTGCTTATTTAAAAATACTACATGTTATATAGTATTTTACCCTGAATGTTAATCTTAGAGAAAAGTAATACTGGTTTTCAAAAATGAAGTAATTTCTTTACTGATTGTGCACTTACGGCATATTATTTTATCATCTACAGTGTGTTAGGGAAACTCTGTAGATTTTAGTATTTCATGAAATGATCTTTATTTATCCTATTAATTGATTGAAGGACTTATGAAGAAAGTAGATGATTTGTGGTATATTGATGCAGGCCAACCATCTTAAGCTGTTTAGTGTTGTTATATGGGAATACCCGAAGCTGGGTAATTTATGAAGAGGCTTATTGGGCTCACAGTTCTGCAGGCTGTACAGGAAGCACAGTGCCACCATCTGCTTGACTTCTGGTGAGAGCCTCAGGCTGCTTCCATTCATGGCAGAAGATAAAGGGTAGCTGGCATGTATAAAGATCACACGGAGACAGAGGAAGCAAGAGAGAGAAGGGGGAGGTTTCAGGCTCTTTTTAATAACCAGTCTTGGAGGAACTAATGGAGCAAGAACCTATTCACTATGGCAAGAATTGTACCAAGCCATACGTGAGGGATCTGCACACATGACTCAAACCCCTCCTATAGTTCCCACCTCCAACATTGGGGACCAGATTTCAACATGATGTTTGGAGGGGACAAATATCCAAGCCTGTAGCACCAACTCTGTTACCCCAGGTCAGTCACTAAACCTCTCTAAGCCTTCATAGACATAAGAAGAGAATAGTAGTACCTACCTGAGAGAACTATAAAGTATAAAATTTCATCAAAGATCAAATGAGATAAAGTGCTTTTGTTAAATGGGAAGAAGATGCTATATTAATGCAACATTGTATTACTGTTGTTTGTTGTTGTTTTGTTGGCTTTTATGTTGTTTAACTTATTAGCTGTGGATTCTGGTATATCAACTATAACTATTAGAAAACCTGTTTTGTAGCAGACAATGTATCTCTAGGATTTAGTTTTAAATTTAGCATCACCTTTTCCCTGTTGAGATGAATAACTGCTGTGTTATCTGTAATAGACCTTAGAATGCTTTAGCCTTATGTGGATTCCTAGGTGTTTAATATTGCCATATTTAAGATGCAATAAAATTAAAAGAACCACTTAAGTTTGGAGATGGGATTTCCACAAGGCATGAAGCAAATGTCCAAAATGAACAAAAGTCTTTTGGTTATGGTTTAGTTCAAAATTTGACACCTGCCCCCTTTACAATAATTTTATAATGCTGAATATTTTTGCACCCAGGACACCAGAATTTTTATTGTTATTGAACAAAATATCAGTGAAATACTATATTCTATTCTTTTTCTACAGTGCCTCCAAAGCCATTACACCTGCAGAATTCACCTTCGTCCAATATACACCAAACCCCCAGGCATAAAGCTTTACCTAGTGCAAAACCAAGGATGGAGGAAATTAAACCTGCCTCTGCTTCTTGTGTCTCAAAAGAAAAACCCAGTAAGGTATCAGATCTCATCAGTCGCTTTGAAGGAGGCAGGTAAGAGCTAATTTACAATGGGAGAAGGCAGGAGAAGAAGAAAGCTGATTTTCGAAAAAATGATAGTCATAGATACATTCTAAATAAAAAGCATAATATCTTATTCCATTAGGTTTGGTAGGCCTTCAGAAAGGGTGAATTTTTAAAACGAATGACTTAATCTTACCCTAATATGAACTGTCATTTACTATGTATTAGCTAGGTACAGTACTGTAGGCCACCAGCTTTTTCATGAAATTGTGTGCTTTGGTATCTGTGTGCTTTCTCTCGTTTCCTCTGTATCTCTGTGTGTCATTCTCTATGTGTTACTCCTTGTGGGTCATTCTGTGGGACGCTCAATATCTGGGTTGGAAAGTCTGAGCGGATGCCTCTGTCTCTTCGTTTCTCACTTTGTATGTTTGTGAATGTGACCCCTGTGGGCTTGTCTCCTCCCTGGGGCCCTCTCTTCTTTCCATCCCATTTTATTTAATGTGGGTCTTCTATACCCATTCAGTCCCGGTTTCCCCTCTCCATATACTCCATCATATGCTAGGTTTTGCAAAGAGATATTATTACCAATGACAAAATGTATGCTAAATTTCAGTTTTGTATTTATTAAATATAATTTATATTCTTTAGTCCCAATGTTTGGAAAAAACAAAGGTAGGTGAAATATTATATTTCTCATTTAAAGATAAACAGAACCCACATAAGTTGCTTTTCTCCTTATAAAACTCTCAATTGTTTATTTTTTCTTAGTCTTTTGATAAAAAGAAATTTTGTCACTGACTTAAATATAATTTTAAGCAATTTTATCAGTAGAATTTTGTTACCTGTCACCAAAAGTCTATGTACAACTAAACAGAATGTGTATAACTTCAATTTCATCCTTGAAACCAAATATTTTCATTCATTTCAGTGTAATATTTGGGACTTGTTAACCATTAGGGTGATTTTATTATTTATTTGTCGGATTTACTGTTACTTATGTAATGAAATCATAGCTTGGAAATAGTTTGATTATCTTCTGGGAATTGTGAACAAGCACAAAACCTGCAGTGTCCCTCATTTTTTAAATGGGTCTAACAGATGTTGGTTCCTCCTATCAATTTCCTGTGACAACTCAGAGGCCCCGTCTATTTTACAAAGTTACAAGTTCTGGAGAGAAGCCTGTCTTCAATTTTCATTCCTGATACATTGTAGGAACTTTGGTCATAAATATTTCAACTTCAGCCTCTCTTCCTCTGAAGTAGGATTTATAGGACCTTTGCTATCTTGAATTACAGTGATATTTACTTAGAATGGTTTAATTCCATTTAAAACTTTTTTTTTGCTGCTCAGGGTAAATTGACTTGATAACAACAGAGTGACCCCTCATGTTTGCAAATTCCAGGGGCCATGCCTAGTGACTGCATAATAGGAGGGGCTGGAGCCCTGATCCCTGTCATAAGGCATGTCAGAGCCTGCATCCCTAGATTTCAGGGATAACTCTCTGAAGCCTGGAAAGGGTCAGTATTCCAAAGGCTGCGTCCTCTCATCCTCTCCATTTTGGTTAACCCACTGCATTGTTTTAGATTCCTCTACATGAGAACTGTTTGTACTTTTTCCACTTAATGTTTTTTTAATCATTCAAGCTTCATAAATTCAATCCTGTTTTGATGCAAAGGTTGAAGGTTTAATTCATCTAAGGAAAAATGTGCTATAATTTATGATTTTTTTTTAAGCAAGTTTGTTCCGAGTGCAAATTGGGTATAGTGTGTTTTGGCAGGTCTGGTGAAGAAATATTATTTGTGGTAGAGTCCACTGCCGATACAAAAAACAATGTTATGTTCTCAGTGAGGTATTACCACTACAGACTGGCCACTAAAGTGTTTGTGTGGGTTAATACTGCATTGGATCTATAGGACTTAAGTAGGAGATTTGTATTTACTGTTGAGTGATATCCTTGCCATTGCAAGGGTCGTTTTCATTTTTAACCTTCCTTATGAGAGCTTAGACTAGCTTTGTAAAATAGAGGGAGGCTCTGAGTTGTCACAGGAAATTGATAGGAAGAACCAACATCTGTTAGAGTGGAGTCTGGTCAGAATGGTCATATCATACTGTTGTTAAGACCTTACCCGGCTGGGTACGGTGGCTCATGCCTATAATCCCAGCACTTTGGGAGGCCACATTGGTTGGATTGTCTGAGCTCAGGAGTTCGAGATCAGCCTGGGTAATGTGGCAGAACCGTATCTCTACAAAAAATACAAAAATTAGCCAGGTATGGTGGTGCACGCCTGTGGTCCCAGCTACTTGGGAGGCTGATGTGAAAGGATTGCTTGAGCCCCAGGAGGTCAAGGCTGCAGTGAGCCGAGATTGTGCCACTGCACTCCAGCCTGGGCGACGGAGTGGGACCCTGCCTTAAAAAAAAAAAAACATCGTAGCACTAGTTTGTTAAGATGACAGATTTGGAGCAAGTAGATTTTCTTTAATTTTTACTGTGGTTTCCTTCTTTCTCCTATTCCTCCTTCTTTCTCTCTTTCAGGTTAAGAGAGAGTACTCTTTTTAACCTAGGAACCACTTTAAGATTTTAGAAATAAGAATATGTTTCTACAGACCTGAACATTAGTGGTTTTTTTTTTTTTTTTTTTTTTTTGAGACAGAGTTTTGCTCTTGTTGCCCAGGCTGGAGGGCAATGGCACGATCTCAGCTCACCATGACCTCCGCCTCCCAGGTTCAAGCAATTTTCCTGCCTCAGCCTCCTGAATAGCTGGGATTACAAGGCATGCACCACCACGCCTGGCTAATTTTGTATTTTTAGTAGAGACGGGGTTTCTCCATGTTGAGGCTGGGCTCGAACTCCTGACCTCAGGTGATCTGCCCGCCTTGGCCTCCCAAAGTGCTGGGATTACCGGCGTGAGCTACCGTGCCCGGCCGGAACATTGGTTTTTCCCATGGACACTCCAAGGTCAACTGTTTTCTCCTTATGGTTTGGCATCCACAAAGCAGCAGGAATCTTCCAAGTACTGGTTCAACTACTGCTTTTACTAACTCCTTACCCACGTTATCCTTCCCCGTCTCCTCTCCCTCCCTACTCATACCCTTGATATCACTTACTATGGGACATTTGCAGCTCTCATTCAAAGCCATCCTTTAGATAAGACCTGAACATGCTTAAATTTGTTTCAGAGGATCTGTTGAGGATCTTTCCACCAGGGAATCCAGAGACTGATGTGGGCAGGAGAAGGAGGACAGTTTGATTCAAATCTCTAAAGACTACTTGGGAAATTATCCAGGCCAAAGTTGTCCTCCTCAAGGGGGCAAATCTCAACTGAAGA
Organism: Homo sapiens; assembly: GCF_000001405.40. Taxonomy (NCBI): domain Eukaryota; kingdom Metazoa; phylum Chordata; class Mammalia; order Primates; family Hominidae; genus Homo; species Homo sapiens. The sequence goes on from NC_000012.12 coordinate 32,579,746, forward strand.
GTGTGTAACATTTATTTGTATTGCCCACCTCCAATTTTTATATATATGACATTTTCCCCTACTCAATTTATCCTTTCTTTCCTCTGGTGTTGGACTTTACCTGTATCTTTTTTCCTCCCTCATCACTTTCTTGCTGTTTACTTTTATTCCCTGTTTCATTCTCCAGTCCAGATCAGCAGTGATTGGGAAGGGTGGGTTGGGAGCAAAGGTGACACATCTCAGCATTGTCCTTGGGACCAGGCTGCTTGCTGTTTCCTTCCCCACCTCCCTTTATCCCGTTACCTGCACAGGGGAAGATAATCAACCCTAGACTTTCTTCCTTCATTTTGCCTACAGCCTATTCATCTGATGCTCATTCTGTCCTTCTGCTCCAGTACATCATAACTTGGGGTGAAGACCATGGGATTTAGAGTTGGATTCATGGTTTGACCTCTGGCTTTTCTGCTTGTTACATTGTGACATTGGCCACCTTAATTTCTAAGCCTAGATTTCTCTATGGGATCCCTGTCTTTGGAATTATTGTGAGGATGAAACAAGGTAATTATTGTAAGGGGCTTCTTATAGTTTGTGGTTCTTAGTAAGCACTTAATAAATGTTTCTGGCTGTTATTATTGTCACAATCATCATCATTATCATGGTTATTCAAAGTTCATCAAATATTTATTGAGTACTTCCCCTGTGTCAAGCGCCACGCTAAGAGGTAGGAGTAAAGCAGAGAGGAAGTCTGCAACCTCACCGAGTTTTAGTTGCTTTATTTCTTCTCGTTTAGGTCACAGGAATCTTTCAAAGAGTATAGCCCACAGTTTTGTGCTCCATTCCCCACCCCACTCCCAGAATCCTAGATTAAAATCTGTACAAATGGCCGGGCGCGGTGGCTCATGCCTATAATCCCAGCACTTTGGGAGGCCGAGGCGGGCAGATCACGAGGTCAGGAGATCGAGACCATCCTGGCTAACACGGTGAAACCCCGTCTCTACTAAAAATACAAAAAATTAGCCGGGCGTGGTGGCGGGCGCCTGTAGTCCCAGCTACTCGGGAGGCTGAGGCAGGAGAATGGTGTGAACCCGGGAGGCGTAGCTTGCAGTGAGCCAAGATTGCGCCACTGCACTCCAGCCTGGGTGACAGAGTGAGACTCCGTCTCAAAAAAAAAAAAAAAAAATCTGTACAAATATTTCCACAGGAATATTGTTATATGTTGGGAGTAAGTTTCATTCTCCTATTAAGACTACTGTTATGTCAAGCAGTAATAAGGACTTTAAAGAAAAATAAAATCAGATGTGGAGTTAGTGATGGAGAGTGCTGTTATGATAGATGAATCTAGGAAAGCCTCTTTGGAGATGTGATACCTGAACAGAACCCCGAATGATAAGAAGAAATACCAGTGTTTTAGGAGAGATTGTCCTAAGCAGAGAACAGCAGCTGCAAAGACCCCAAGACACATACACTTGGTTATTAAGAATGGGAGCAGCAAGGAGTATGGCAAGAACACAGTGAGTTAAGGAAGAATGAAATCTAATGAGGCCATGCACTTTGGGAACTAGAGTATGTAGAATCTCATAGGCTGTCACTGGGACTTGAGTTTTCCCTTGAGTGTGTGAGGAAGCCCTCAGAGTTTGTGACTGACTTGTAGAGGTTCTAGTGGAGGGGATCAGAGTGGAAACAAAGAGACCAGTTAAAAAGGTATGGCAGCATGAATAAAAAAGTTTTGAGAGTATTCATTATGCCTTCCAAATAAAAAACTCTTTGGTTCATAATTTGTTCATAAATTAAGGACTGGCTACACTGTACTATTTAAAAATGTTAAGAAACATCAATAAGTAAAAATGTTAGGAAGAGATGATAAATACGTAAGTATTATATCTAACTAAGTCTTTACTAACTAGTCACATTATTAAACAGTGCAAGGATCAAGAAAAGTTAAGCGTTGAAA